>NT_187371.1:0-153799 GCF_000001405.40 Homo sapiens | reverse complement strand
GAATTCTTCTGTCTAGTTTTCAGGGGAAGATATTTCCTTTTTCACCATAGGCCTGAAAGCGCTCCAAATGTCCACATCCAGATACTACAAAAAGAGTGTTTCAAACCTGCTCTATGAAAGGGAATGTTCAACTCTGTGACTTGAATGCAAACATCACAAAGAAGTTTCTGGGAATGCTGCTGTCTGCTTTTTATATGTAATCCCGTTTCCAACGAAATCCTCAAAGCTAGACAAATATCCACTTGCAGATTCCACAAAAAGAGTGTTTCAAAACTGCTCTCTCAAAAGAAAGGTTCAACTCTGTTAGCTGAGTAGATACATCATGAAAAAGTTTCTGACATTGCTTCTATCTAGCTTTTATTGGAAGATATTTCCTTTATCACCGTATTCCTGAGATCTCTCCAAATGTCCACTTCCAGATACTACAAAAAGAGTGTTTCAAACCTGCTCTATGAAAGGGACTGTTCAACACTGTGACTTCAATTGAAACATCCCAATGAAGCTTCTGAGAATGCTTCTGTGTAGAGTTTATATGAAGACAATCCCGTTTCCAACGAAATCCTCAAAGCTATCAAAATATCCTCTTGCAGATTTTACGAAAAGAGTGTTTCAAAACTGCTCTATCAAAAGAAAGCTTCAACACTGTTAGTTGAGGGCGCACATCACAAATAAGATTCTGAGAATGCTTCTGTCTAGTTTTCAGGAGAAGATATATCCTTTTTCACCATAGGCCTGAAAGCGCTCCAAATGTCCACATCCAGATACTATAAAAAGAGTGTTTCAAACCTGCTCTATGAAAGGGAATGTTCAACTCTGTGACTTGAATGCAAACATCACAAACAAGATTCTGGGAATGCTGCTGTCTGCTTTTTATATGTAATCCCGTTTCCAACGAAATCCTCAAATCTATCCAAATATCCTCTTGCAGATATTACAAAAAGAGTGTTTCAAAACTGCTCTATCAAAAGAAAGGTTCAACACTGTTAGTTGAGGGCGCACATCACAAATAAGTTTCTGAGAATGCTTCTGTCTAGTTTTCAGGGGAAGATATTTCCTTTTTCACCATAGGCCTGAAAGCGCTCCAAATGTCCACATCCAGATACTACAAAAAGAGTGTTTCAAACCTGCTCTATGAAAGGGAATGTTCAACTCTGTGACTTGAATGCAAACATCACAAAGAAGTTTCTGGGAATGCTGCTTTCTGCTTTTTATATGTAATCCCGTTTCCAACGAAATCCTGAAAGCTAGACAAATATCCACTTGCAGATTCCACAAAAAGAGTGTTTCAAAACTGCTCTATCAAAAGAATGCTACAACACTGTTTGTTGAGGGCGCACATCACAAATAAGTTTCTGAGAATGCTTCTGTCTAGTTTTCAGGGGAAGATATTTCCTTTTAAACCATAGGCCTGAAAGAGCTCCAAATGTCCACATCCAGATACTACAAAAAGAGTGTTTCAAACCTGCTCTATGAAAGGGACTGTTCAACACTGTGACTTCAATTGAAACATCCCAATGAAGCTTCTGAGAATGCTTCTGTCTAGAGTTTATATGAAGACAATCCCGTTTCCAACGAAATCCTCAAAGCTATCCAAATATCCTCTTGCAGATTTTACAAAAAGAGTGTTTCAAAACTGCTCTATCAAAAGAAAGCTTCAACACTGTTAGTTGAGGGCGCACATCACAAATAAGATTCTGAGAATGCTTCTGTGTAGTTTTCAGGGGAAGATATTTCCTTTTTCACCATAGGCCTGAAAGCGCTCCAAATGTCCACATCCAGATACTACAAAAAGAGTGTTTCAAACCTGCTCTATGAAAGGGAATGTTCAACTCTGTGACTTGAATGCGAACATCACAAAGAAGTTACTGGGAATGCTGCTGTCTGCTTTTTATATGTAATCCCGTTTCCAACGAAATCCTCAAAGCTAGACAAATATCCACTTGCAGATTCCACAAAAAGAGTGTTTCAAAACTGCTCTCTCAAAGGAAAGGTTCAACTCTGTTAGCTGAGTAGATACATCATGAAAAAGTTTCTGACATTGCTTCTATGTAGCTTTTATTGGAAGATATTTCCTTTTTCACCATAGTCCTGAGAGTGCTCCAAATGTCCACTTCCAGATACTACAAAAAGAGTGTTTCAAACCTGTTCTATGAAAGGAACTGTTCAACACTGTGACTTCAATTGAAACATCCCAATGAAGCTTCTGAGAATGCTTCTGTCTAGAGTTTATATGAAGACAATCCCGTTTCCAACGAAATCCTCAAAGCTATCCTAATATCCTCTTGCAGATATTACAAAAAGAGTGTTTCAAAACTGCTCTATCAAAAGAAAGCTTCAACACTGTTAGTTGAGGGCGCACATCACAAATAAGTTTCTGAGAATGCTTCTGTCTAGTTTTCAGGGGAAGATATTTCCTTTTTCACCTTAGGCCTGAAAGCGCTGCAAATGTCCACATCCAGATACTACAAAAAGAGTGTTTCAAACCTGCTCTATGAAAGGGAATGTTCAACTCTGTGACTTGAATGCAAACCTCACAAAGAAGTTTCTGGGAATGCTGCTGTCTGCTTTTTATATGTAATCCGGTTTCCAACGAAATCCTCAAAGCTAGACAAATATCCACTTGCAGATTCCACAAAAAGAGTGTTTCAAAACTGCTCTCTCAAAGGAAGGTTCAACTCTGTTAGCTGAGTAGATACATCATGAAAAAGTTTCTGACATTGCTTCTATCTAGCTTTTATTGGAAGATATTTCCTTTTTCACCGCAGTCCTGAGAGCGCTCCAAATGTCCACTTCCAGATACTACAAAAAGAGTGTTTCAAACCTGCTCTATGAAAGGGACTGTTCAACACTGTGACTTCAATTGAAACATCCCAATGAAGCTTCTGAGAATGCTTCTGTCTAGAGTTTATATGAAGACAATCCCGTTTCCAACGAAATCCTCAAAGCTATCCAAATATCCTCTTGCAGATTTTACAAAAAGAGTGTTTCAAAACTGCTCTATCAAAAGAAAGCTTCAACACTGTTAGTTGAGGGCGCACATCACAAATAAGATTCTGAGAATGCTTCTGTCTAGTTTTCAGGGGAAGATATTTCCTTTTTCACCATAGGCCTGAAAGCGCTCCAAATGTCCACATCCAGATACTACAAAAAGAGTGTTTCAAACCTGCTCTATGAAAGGGAATGTTCAACTCTGTGAATTGAATGCAAACATCACAAAGAAGTTTCTGGGAATGCTGCTGTCTGCTTTTTATATGTAATCCCGTTTCCAACGAAATCCTCAAAGCTAGACAAATATCCACTTGCAGATTCCACAAAAAGAGTGTTTCAAAACTGCTCTATCAAAAGAATGCTTCAACACTGTTAGTTGAGGGCGCACATCACAAATAAGTTTCTGAGAATGCTTCTGTCTAGTTTTCAGGGGAAGATATTTCCTTTTAAACCATAGGCCTGAAAGCGCTCCAAATGTCCACATCCAGATACTACAAAAAGAGTGTTTCAAACCTGCTCTATGAAAGGGACTGTTCAACACTGTGACTTCAATTGAAACATCCCAATGACGCTTCTGAGAATGCTTCTGTCTAGAGTTTATATGAAGACAATCCCGTTTCCAACGAAATCCTCAAGGCTATCCAAATATCCTCTTGCAGATATTACAAAAAGAGTGTTTCAAAACTGCTCTATCAAAAGAAAGCTTCAACACTGTTAGTTGAGGGCGCACATCACAAATAAGATTCTGAGAATTCTTCTGTCTAGTTTTCAGGGGAAGATATTTCCTTTTTCACCATAGGCCTGAAAGCGCTCCAAATGTCCACATCCAGATACTACAAAAAGAGTGTTTCAAACCTGCTCTATGAAAGGGAATGTTCAACTCTGTGACTTGAATGCAAACATCACAAAGAAGTTTCTGGGAATGCTGCTGTCTGCTTTTTATATGTAATCCCGTTTCCAACGAAATCCTCAAAGCTAGACAAATATCCACTTGCAGATTCCACAAAAAGAGTGTTTCAAAACTGCTCTATCAAAAGAATGCTTCAACACTGTTAGTTGAGGGCGCACATCACAAATAAGTTTCTGAGAATGCTTCTGTCTAGTTTTCAGGGGAAGATATTTCCTTTTAAACCATAGGCCTGAAAGCGCTCCAAATGTCCACATCCAGATACTACAAAAAGAATGTTTCAAACCTGCTCTATGAAAGGGACTGTTCAACACTGTGACTTCAATTGAAACATCCCAATGAAGCTTCTGAGAATGCTTCTGTCTAGAGTTTATATGAAGACAATCCCGTTTCCAACGAAATCCTCAAAGCTATCCAAATATCCTCTTGCAGATTTTACAAAAAGAGTGTTTCAAAACTGCTCTATCAAAAGAAAGCTTCAACACTGTTAGTTGAGGGCGCACATCACAAATAAGTTTCTGAGAATGCTTCTGTCTAGTTTTCAGGGGAAGATACTTCCTTTTTCACCTTAGGCCTGAAAGCGCTGCAAATGTTCACATCCAGATACTACAAAAAGAGTGTTTCAAACCTGCTCTATGAAAGGGAATGTTCAACTCTGTGACTTGAATGCAAACATCACAAAGAAGATTCTGGGAATGCTGCTTTCTGCTTTTTATATGTAATCCCGTTTCCAACGAAATCCTCAAAGCTAGACAAATATCCACTTGCAGATTCCACAAAAAGAGTGTTTCAAAACTGCTCTATCAAAAGAATGCTACAACACTGTTTGTTGAGGGCGCACATCACAAATAAGTTTCTGAGAATGCTTCTGTCTAGTTTTCAGTGGAAGATATTTCCTTTTAAACCATAGGCCTGAAAGCGCTCCAAATGTCCACATCCAGATACTACAAAAAGAGTGTTTCAAACCTGCTCTATGAAAGGGACTGTTCAACACTGTGACTTCAATTGAAACATCCCAATGAAGCTTCTGAGAATGCTTCTGTCTAGAGTTTATATGAAGACAATCCCGTTTCCAACGAAATCCTCAAAGCTATCCAAATATCCTCTTGCAGATTTTACAAAAAGAGTGTTTCAAAACTGCTCTATCAAAAGAAAGCTTCAACACTGTTAGTTGAGGGCGCACATCACAAATAAGATTCTGAGAATGCTTCTGTCTAGTTTTCAGGGGAAGATATTTCCTTTTTCACCATAGGCCTGAAAGCGCTCCAAATGTCCACATCCAGATACTACAAAAAGAGTGTTTCAAACCTGCTCTATGAAAGGGAATGTTCAACTGTGTGACTTGAATGCAAACATCACAAAGAAGTTTCTGGGAATGCTGCTGTCTGCTTTTTATATGTAATCCCGTTTCCAACGAAATCCTCAAAGCTAGACAAATATCCACTTGCAGATTCCACAAAAAGAGTGTTTCAAAACTGCTCTCTCAAAGGAAAGGTTCAACTCTGTTAGCTGAGTAGATACATCATGAAAAAGTTTCTGACATTGCTTCTATCTAGCTTTTATTGGAAGATATTTCCTTTTTCACCATAGTCCTGAGAGTGCTCCAAATGTCCACTTCCAGATACTACAAAAAGAGTGTTTTAAACCTGCTCTATGAAAGGGACTGTTCAACACTGTGACTTCAATTGAAACATCCCAATGAAGCTTCTGAGAATGCTTCTGTCTAGAGTTTATATGAAGACAATCCCGTTTCCAACGAAATCCTCAAAGCTATCAAAATATCCTCTTGCAGATTTTACGAAAAGAGTGTTTCAAAACTGCTCTATCAAAAGAAAGCTTCAACACTGTTAGTTGAGGGCGCACATCACAAATAAGATTCTGAGAATGCTTCTGTCTAGTTTTCAGGGGAAGATATTTCCTTTTTCACCATAGGCCTGAAAGCGCTCCAAATGTCCACATCCAGATACTACAAAAAGAGTGTTTCAAACCTGCTCTATGAAAGGGAATGTTCAACTCTGTGACTTGAATGCAAACATCACAAAGAAGTTTCTGGGAATGCTGCTGTCTGCTTTTTATATGTAATCCCGTTTCCAACGAAATCCTCAAAGCTAGACAAATATCCACTTGCAGATTCCACAAAAAGAGTGTTTCAAAACTGCTCTATCAAAAGAATGCTTCAACACTGTTAGTTGAGGGCGCACATCACAAATAAGTTTCTGAGAATGCCTCTGTCTAGTTTTCAGGGGAAGATATTTCCTTTTAAACCATAGGCCTGAAAGCGCTCCAAATGTCCACATCCAGATACTACAAAAAGAGTGTTTCAAACCTGCTCTATGAAAGGGACTGTTCAACACTGTGACTTCAATTGAAACATCCCAATGACGCTTCTGAGAATGCTTCTGTCTAGAGTTTATATGAAGACAATACCGTTTCCAACGAAATCCTCAAGGCTATCCAAATATCCTCTTGCAGATTTTACAAAAAGAGTGTTTCAAAACTGCTCTATCAAAAGAAAGCTTCAACACTGTTAGTTGAGGGCGCACATCACAAATAAGATTCTGAGAATTCTTCTGTCTAGTTTTCAGGGGAAGATATTTCCTTTTTCACCATAGGCCTGAAAGCGCTCCAAATGTCCACATCCAGATACTACAAAAAGAGTGTTTCAAACCTGCTCTATGAAAGGGAATGTTCAACTCTGTGACTTGAATGCAAACATCACAAAGAAGTTTCTGGGAATGCTGCTGTCTGCTTTTTATATGTAATCCCGTTTCCAACGAAATCCTCAAAGCTAGACAAATATCCACTTGCAGATTCCACAAAAAGAGTGTTTCAAAACTGCTCTCTCAAAAGAAAGGTTCAACTCTGTTAGCTGAGTAGATACATCATGAAAAAGTTTCTGACATTGCTTCTATCTAGCTTTTATTGGAAGATATTTCCTTTATCACCGTATTCCTGAGATCTCTCCAAATGTCCACTTCCAGATACTACAAAAAGAGTGTTTCAAACCTGCTCTATGAAAGGGACTGTTCAACACTGTGACTTCAATTGAAACATCCCAATGAAGCTTCTGAGAATGCTTCTGTCTAGAGTTTATATGAAGACAATCCCGTTTCCAACGAAATCCTCAAAGCTATCAAAATATCCTCTTGCAGATTTTACGAAAAGAGTGTTTCAAAACTGCTCTATCAAAAGAAAGCTTCAACACTGTTAGTTGAGGGCGCACATCACAAATAAGATTCTGAGAATGCTTCTGTCTAGTTTTCAGGAGAAGATATATCCTTTTTCACCATAGGCCTGAAAGCGCTCCAAATGTCCACATCCAGATACTATAAAAAGAGTGTTTCAAACCTGCTCTATGAAAGGGAATGTTCAACTCTGTGACGTGAATGCAAACATCACAAACAAGATTCTGGGAATGCTGCTGTCTGCTTTTTATATGTAATCCCGTTTCCAACGAAATCCTTAAATCTATCCAAATATCCTCTTGCAGATATTACAAAAAGAGTGTTTCAAAACTGCTCTATCAAAAGAAAGGTTCAACACTGTTAGTTGAGGGCGCACATCACAAATAAGTTTCTGAGAATGCTTCTGTCTAGTTTTCAGGGGAAGATATTTCCTTTTTCACCATAGGCCTGAAAGCGCTCCAAATGTCCACATCCAGATACTACAAAAAGAGTGTTTCAAACCTGCTCTATGAAAGGGAATGTTCAACTCTGTGACTTGAATGCAAACATCACAAAGAAGTTTCTGGGAATGCTGCTTTCTGCTTTTTATATGTAATCCCGTTTCCAACGAAATCCTCAAAGCTAGACAAATATACACTTGCAGATTCCACAAAAAGAGTGTTTCAAAACTGCTCTATCAAAAGAATGCTACAACACTGTTTGTTGAGGGCACACATCACAAATAAGTTTCTGAGAATGCTTCTGTCTAGTTTTCAGGGGAAGATATTTCCTTTTAAACCATAGGCCTGAAAGCGCTCCAAATGTCCACATCCAGATACTACAAAAAGAGTGTTTCAAACCTGCTCTATGAAAGGGACTGTTCAACACTGTGACTTCAATTGAAACATCCCAATGAAGCTTCTGAGAATGCTTCTGTCTAGAGTTTATATGAAGACAATCCCGTTTCCAACGAAATCCTCAAAGCTATCCAAATATCCTCTTGCAGATTTTACAAAAAGAGTGTTTCAAAACTGCTCTATCAAAAGAAAGCTTCAACACTGTTAGTTGAGGGCGCACATCACAAATAAGATTCTGAGAATGCTTCTGTGTAGTTTTCAGGGGAAGATATTTCCTTTTTCACCATAGGCCTGAAAGCGCTCCAAATGTCCACATCCAGATACTACAAAAAGAGTGTTTCAAACCTGCTCTATGAAAGGGAATGTTCAACTCTGTGACTTGAATGCGAACATCACAAAGAAGTTACAGGGAATGCTGCTGTCTGCTTTTTATATGTAATCCCGTTTCCAACGAAATCCTCAAAGCTAGACAAATATCCACTTGCAGATTCCACAAAAAGAGTGTTTCAAAACTGCTCTCTCAAAGGAAGGTTCAACTCTGTTAGCTGAGTAGATACATCATGAAAAAGTTTCTGACATTGCTTCAATCTAGCTTTTATTGGAAGATATTTCCTTTTTCACCGCAGTCCTGAGAGCGCTCCAAATGTCCACTTCCAGATACTACAAAAAGAGTGTTTCAAACCTGCTCTATGAAAGGGACTGTTCAACACTGTGACTTCAATTGAAACATCCCAATGAAGCTTCTGAGAATGCTTCTGTCTAGAGTTTATATGAAGACAATCCCGTTTCCAACGAAATCCTCAAAGCTATCCAAATATCCTCTTGCAGATTTTACAAAAAGAGTGTTTCAAAACTGCTCTATCAAAAGAAAGCTTCAACACTGTTAGTTGAGGGCGCACATCACAAATAAGATTCTGAGAATGCTTCTGTCTAGTTTTCAGGGGAAGATATTTCCTTTTTCACCGTAGGCCTGAAAGCGCTCCAAATGTCCACATCCAGATACTACAAAAAGAGTGTTTCAAACCTGCTCTATGAAAGGGAATGTTCAACTCTGTGAATTGAATGCAAACATCACAAAGAAGTTTCTGGGAATGCTGCTGTCTGCTTTTTATATGTAATCCCGTTTCCAACGAAATCCTCAAAGCTAGACAAATATCCACTTGCAGATTCCACAAAAAGAGTGTTTCAAAACTGCTCTATCAAAAGAATGCTTCAACACTGTTAGTTGAGGGCGCACATCACAAATAAGTTTCTGAGAATGCTTCTGTCTAGTTTTCAGGGGAAGATATTTCCTTTTAAACCATAGGCCTGAAAGCGCTCCAAATGTCCACATCCAGATACTACAAAAAGAGTGTTTCAAACCTGCTCTATGAAAGGGACTGTTCAACACTGTGACTTCAATTGAAACATCCCAATGACGCTTCTGAGAATGCTTCTGTCTAGAGTTTACATGAAGACAATCCCGTTTCCAACGAAATCCTCAAGGCTATCCAAATATCCTCTTGCAGATTTTACAAAAAGAGTGTTTCAAAACTGCTCTATCAAAAGAAAGCTTCAACACTGTTAGTTGAGGGCGCACATCACAAATAAGATTCTGAGAATTCTTCTGTCTAGTTTTCAGGGGAAGATATTTCCTTTTTCACCATAGGCCTGAAAGCGCTCCAAATGTCCACATCCAGATACTACAAAAAGAGTGTTTCAAACCTGCTCTATGAAAGGGAATGTTCAACTCTGTGACTTGAATGCAAACATCACAAAGAAGTTTCTGGGAATGCTGCTGTCTGCTTTTTATATGTAATCCCGTTTCCAACGAAATCCTCAAAGCTAGACAAATATCCACTTGCAGATTCCACAAAAAGAGTGTTTCAAAACTGCTCTCTCAAAAGAAAGGTTCAACTCTGTTAGCTGAGTAGATACATCATGAAAAAGTTTCTGACATTGCTTCTATCTAGCTTTTATTGGAAGATATTTCCTTTATCACCGAATTCCTGAGATCTCTCCAAATGTCCACTTCCAGATACTACAAAAAGAGTGTTTCAAACCTGCTCTATGAAAGGGACTGTTCAACACTGTGACTTCAATTGAAACATCCCAATGAAGCTTCTGAGAATGCTTCTGTCTAGAGTTTATATGAAGACAATCCCGTTTCCAACGAAATCCTCAAAGCTATCAAAATATCCTCTTGCAGATTTTACGAAAAGAGTGTTTCAAAACTGCTCTATCAAAAGAAAGCTTCAACACTGTTAGTTGAGGGCGCACATCACGAATAAGATTCTGAGAATGCTTCTGTCTAGTTTTCAGGAGAAGATATATCCTTTTTCACCATAGGCCTGAAAGCGCTCCAAATGTCCACACCCAGATACTATAAAAAGAGTGTTTCAAACCTGCTCTATGAAAGGGAATGTTCAACTCTGTGACTTGAATGCAAACATCACAAACAAGATTCTGGGAATGCTGCTGTCTGCTTTTTATATGTAATCCCGTTTCCAACGAAATCCTCAAAGCTATCCAAATATCCTCTTGCAGATATTACAAAAAGAGTTTTTCAAAACTGCTCTATCAAAAGAAAGGTTCAACACTGTTAGTTGAGGGCGCACATCACAAATAAGTTTCTGAGAATGCTTCTGTCTAGTTTTCAGGGGAAGATATTTCCTTTTTCACCATAGGCCTGAAAGCGCTCCAAATGTCCACATCCAGATACTACAAAAAGAGTGTTTCAAACCTGCTCTATGAAAGGGAATGTTCAACTCTGTGACTTGAATGCAAACATCACAAAGAAGTTTCTGGGAATGCTGCTTTCTGCTTTTTATATGTAATCCCGTTTCCAACGAAATCCTGAAAGCTAGACAAATATCCACTTGCAGATTCCACAAAAAGAGTGTTTCAAAACTGCTCTATCAAAAGAATGCTACAACACTGTTTGTTGAGGGCGCACATCACAAATAAGTTTCTGAGAATGCTCCTGTCTAGTTTTCAGGGGAAGATATTTCCTTTTAAACCATAGGCCTGAAAGCGCTCCAAATGTCCACATCCAGATACTACAAAAAGTGTGTTTCAAACCTGCTCTATGAAAGGGACTGTTCAACACTGTGACTTCAATTGAAACATCCCAATGAAGCTTCTGAGAATGCTTCTGTCTAGAGTTTATATGAAGACAATCCCGTTTCCAACGAAATCCTCAAAGCTATCCAAATATCCTCTTGCAGATTTTACAAAAAGAGTGTTTCAAAACTGCTCTATCAAAAGAAAGCTTCAACACTGTTAGTTGAGGGCGCACATCACAAATAAGATTCTGAGAATGCTTCTGTGTAGTTTTCAGGGGAAGATATTTCCTTTTTCACCATAGGCCTGAAAGCGCTCCAAATGTCCACATCCAGATACTACAAAAAGAGTGTTTCAAACCTGCTCTATGAAAGGGAATGTTCAACTCTGTGACTTGAATGCGAACATCACAAAGAAGTTACTGGGAATGCTGCTGTCTGCTTTTTATATGTAATCCCGTTTCCAACGAAATCCTCAAAGCTAGACAAATATCCACTTGCAGATTCCACAAAAAGAGTGTTTCAAAACTGCTCTCTCAAAAGAAAGGTTCAACTCTGTTAGCTGAGTAGATACATCATGAAAAAGTTTCTGACATTGCTTCTATCTAGCTTTTATTGGAAGATATTTCCTTTTTCACCGCAGTCCTGAGAGCGCTCCAAATGTCCACTTCCAGATACTACAAAAAGAGTGTTTCAAACCTGCTCTATGAAAGGGAATGTTCAACTGTGTGACTTGAATGCAAACATCACAAAGAAGTTTCTGGGAATGCTGCTGTCTGCTTTTTATATGTAATCCCGTTTCCAACGAAATCCTCAAAGCTAGACAAATATCCACTTGCAGATTCCACAAAAAGAGTGTTTCAAAACTGCTCTCTCAAAAGAAAGGTTCAACTCTGTTAGCTGAGTAGATACATCATGAAAAAGTTTCTGACATTGCTTCTATCTAGCTTTTATTGGAAGATATTTCCTTTTTCACCGCAGTCCTGAGAGCGCTCCAAATGTCCACTTCCAGATACTACAAAAAGAGTGTTTCAAACCTGCTCTATGAAAGGGACTGTTCAACACTGTGACTTCAATTGAAACATCCCAATGAAGCTTCTGAGAATGCTTCTGTCTAGAGTTTATATGAAGACAATCCCGTTTCCAACGAAATCCTCAAAGCTATCCAAATATCCTCTTGCAGATTTTACAAAAGGAGTGTTTCAAAACTGCTCTATCAAAAGAAAGCTTCAACACTGTTAGTTGAGGGCGCACATCACAAATAAGATTCTGAGAATGCTTCTGTCTAGTTTTCAGGGGAAGATATTTCCTTTTTCACCATAGGCCTGAAAGCGCTGCAAATGTCCACATCCAGATACTACAAAAAGAGTGTTTCAAACCTGCTCTATGAAAGGGAATGTTCAACTCTGTGACTTGAATGCAAACATCACAAAGAAGTTTCTGGGAATGCTGCTGTCTGCTTTTTATATGTAATCCCGTTTCCAACGAAATCCTCAAAGCTAGACAAATATCCACTTGCAGATTCCACAAAAAGAGTGTTTCAAAACTGCTCTATCAAAAGAATGCTTCAACACTGTTAGTTGAGGGCGCACATCACAAATAAGTTTCTGAGAATGCTTCTGTCTAGTTTTCAGGGGAAGATATTTCCTTTTAAACCATAGGCCTGAAAGCGCTCCAAATGTCCACATCCAGATACTACAAAAAGAGTGTTTCAAACCTGCTCTATGAAAGGGACTGTTCAACACTGTGACTTCAATTGAAACATCCCAATGACGCTTCTGAGAATGCTTCTGTCTAGAGTTTATATGAAGACAATCCCGTTTCCAACGAAATCCTCAAAGCTATCCAAATATCCTCTTTCAGATTTTACAAAAAGAGTGTTTCAAAACTGCTCTATCAAAAGAAAGCTTCAACACTGTTAGTTGAGGGCGCACATTACAAATAAGATTCTGAGAATTCTTCTCTCTAGTTTTCAGGGGAAGATATTTCCTTTTTCACCATAGGCCTGAAAGCGCTCCAAATGTCCACATCCAGATACTACAAAAAGAGTGTTTCAAACCTGCTCTATGAAAGGGAATGTTCAACTCTGTGACTTGAATGCAAACATCACAAAGAAGTTACTGGGAATGCTGCTGTCTGCTTTTTATATGTAATCCCGTTTCCAACGAAATCCTAAAAGCTAGACAAATATACACTTGCAGATTCCACAAAAAGAGTGTTTCAAAACTGCTCTCTCAAAAGAAAGGTTCAACTCTGTTAGCTGAGTAGATACATCATGAAAAAGTTTCTGACATTGCTTCTATCTAGCTTTTATTGGAAGATATTTCCTTTATCACCGTATTCCTGAGATCTCTCCAAATGTCCACTTCCAGATACTACAAAAAGAGTGTTTTAAACCTGCTCTATGAAAGGGACTGTTCAACACTGTGACTTCAATTGAAACATCCCAATGAAGCTTCTGAGAATGCTTCTGTCTAGAGTTTATATGAAGACAATCCCGTTTCCAACGAAATCCTCAAAGCTATCAAAATATCCTCTTGCAGATTTTACGAAAAGAGTGTTTCAAAACTGCTCTATCAAAAGAAAGTTTCAACACTGTTAGTTGAGGGCGCACATCACAAATAAGATTCTGAGAATGCTTCTGTCTAGTTTTCAGGGGAAGATATTTCCTTTTTCACCATAGGCCTGAAAGCGCTCCAAATGTCCACATCCAGATACTATAAAAAGAGTGTTTCAAACCTGCTCTATGAAAGGGAATGTTCAACTCTGTGACTTGAATGCAAACATCACAAAGAAGTTTCTGGGAATGCTGCTGTCTGCTTTTTATATGTAATCCCGTTTCCAACGAAATCCTCAAAGCTAGACAAATATCCACTTGCAGATTCCACAAAAAGAGTGTTTCAAAACTGCTCTCTCAAAAGAAAGGTTCAACTCTGTTAGCTGAGTAGATACATCATGAAAAAGTTTCTGACATTGCTTCTATCTAGCTTTTATTGGAAGATATTTCCTTTATCACCGTATTCCTGAGATCTCTCCAAATGTCCTCTTCCAGATACTACAAAAAGAGTGTTTCAAACCTGCTCTATGAAAGGGACTGTTCAACACTGTGACTTCAATTGAAACATCCCAATGAAGCTTCTGAGAATGCTTCTGTCTAGAGTTTATATGAAGACAATCCCGTTTCCAACGAAATCCTCAAAGCTATCAAAATATCCTCTTGCAGATTTTACAAAAAGAGTGTTTCAAAACTGCTCTATCAAAAGAAAGCTTCAACACTGTTAGTTGAGGGCGCACATCACAAATAAAATTCTGAGAATGCTTCTGTCTAGTTTTCAGGAGAAGATATATCCTTTTTCACCATAGGCCTGAAAGCGCTCCAAATGTCCACATCCAGATACTATAAAAAGAGTGTTTCAAACCTGCTCTATGAAAGGGAATGTTCAACTCTGTGACTTGAATGCAAACATCACAAACAAGATTCTGGGAAAGCTGCTGTCTGCTTTTTATATGTAATCCCGTTTCCAACGAAATCCTCAAATCTATCCAAATATCCTCTTGCAGATATTACAAAAAGAGTGTTTCAAAACTGCTCTATCAAAAGAAAGGTTCAACACTGTTAGTTGAGGGCGCACATCACAAATAAGTTTCTGAGAATGCTTCTGTCTAGTTTTCAGGGGAAGATATTTCCTTTTTCACCATAGGCCTGAAAGCGCTGCAAATGTCCACATCCAGATACTACAAAAAGAGTGTTTCAAACCTGCTCTATGAAAGGGAATGTTCAACTCTGTGACTTGAATGCAAACATCACAAAGAAGTTTCTGGGAATGCTGCTTTCTGCTTTTTATATGTAATCCCGTTTCCAACGAAATCCTCAAAGCTAGACAAATATCCACTTGCAGATTCCACAAAAAGTGTGTTTCAAAACTGCTCTATCAAAAGAATGCTACAACACTGTTTGTTGAGGGCGCACATCACAAATAAGTTTCTGAGAATGCTTCTGTCTAGTTTTCAGGGGAAGATATTTCCTTTTAAACCATAGGCCTGAAAGCGCTCCAAATGTCCACATCCAGATACTACAAAAAGAGTGTTTCAAACCTGCTCTATGAAAGGGACTGTTCAACACTGTGACTTCAATTGAAACATCCCAATGAAGCTTCTGAGAATGCTTCTGTCTAGAGTTTATATGAAGACAATCCCGTTTCCAACGAAATCCTCAAAGCTATCCAAATATCCTCTTGCAGATTTTACAAAAAGAGTGTTTCAAAACTGCTCTATCAAAAGAAAGCTTCAACACTGTTAGTTGAGGGCGCACATCACAAATAAGATTCTGAGAATGCTTCTGTGTAGTTTTCAGGGGAAGATATTTCCTTTTTCACCATAGGCCTGAAAGCGCTCCAAATGTCCACATCCAGATACTACAAAAAGAGTGTTTCAAACGTGCTCTATGAAAGGGAATGTTCAACTCTGTGACTTGAATGCGAACATCACAAAGAAGTTACAGGGAATGCTGCTGTCTGCTTTTTATATGTAATCCCGTTTCCAACGAAATCCTCAAAGCTAGACAAATATCCACTTGCAGATTCCACAAAAAGAGTGTTTCAAAACTGCTCTCTCAAAGGAAAGGTTCAACTCTGTTAGCTGAGTAGATACATCATGAAAAAGTTTCTGACATTGCTTCTATGTAGCTTTTATTGGAAGATATTTCCTTTTTCACCATAGTCCTGAGAGTGCTCCAAATGTCCACTTCCAGATACTACAAAAAGAGTGTTTCAAACCTGTTCTATGAAAGGAACTGTTCAACACTGTGACTTCAATTGAAACATCCCAATGAAGCTTCTGAGAATGCTTCTGTCTAGAGTTTATATGAAGACAATCCCGTTTCCAACGAAATCCTCAAAGCTATCCTAATATCCTCTTGCAGATATTACAAAAAGAGTGTTTCAAAACTGCTCTATCAAAAGAAAGCTTCAACACTGTTAGTTGAGGGCGCACATCACAAATAAGTTTCTGAGAATGCTTCTGTCTAGTTTTCAGGGGAAGATATTTCCTTTTTCACCTTAGGCCTGAAAGCGCTGCAAATGTCCACATCCAGATACTACAAAAAGAGTGTTTCAAACCTGCTCTATGAAAGGGAATGTTCAACTCTGTGACTTGAATGCAAACCTCACAAAGAAGTTTCTGGGAATGCTGCTGTCTGCTTTTTATATGTAATCCCGTTTCCAACGAAATCCTCAAAGCTAGACAAATATCCACTTGCAGATTCCACAAAAAGAGTGTTTCAAAACTGCTCTCTCAAAGGAAGGTTCAACTCTGTTAGCTGAGTAGATACATCATGAAAAAGTTTCTGACATTGCTTCTATCTAGCTTTTATTGGAAGATATTTCCTTTTTCACCGCAGTCCTGAGAGCGCTCCAAATGTCCACTTCCAGATACTACAAAAAGAGTGTTTCAAACCTGCTCTATGAAAGGGACTGTTCAACACTGTGACTTCAATTGAAACATCCCAATGACGCTTCTGAGAATGCTTCTGTCTAGAGTTTATATGAAGACAATCCCGTTTCCAACGAAATCCTCAAGGCTATCCAAATATCCTCTTGCAGATTTTACAAAAAGAGTGTTTCAAAACTGCTCTATCAAAAGAAAGCTTCAACACTGTTAGTTGAGGGCGCACATCACAAATAAGATTCTGAGAATTCTTCTGTCTAGTTTTCAGGGGAAGATATTTCCTTTTTCACCATAGGCCTGAAAGCGCTCCAAATGTCCACATCCAGATACTACAAAAAGAGTGTTTCAAACCTGCTCTATGAAAGGGAATGTTCAACTCTGTGACTTGAATGCAAACATCAGAAAGAAGTTTCTGGGAATGCTGCTGTCTGCTTTTTATATGTAATCCCGTTTCCAACGAAATCCTCAAAGCTAGACAAATATCCACTTGCAGATTCCACAAAAAGAGTGTTTCAAAACTGCTCTCTCAAAAGAAAGGTTCAACTCTGTCAGCTGAGTAGATACATCATGAAAAAGTTTCTGACATTGCTTCTATCTAGCTTTTATTGGAAGATATTTCCTTTATCACCGAATTCCTGAGATCTCTCCAAATGTCCACTTCCAGATACTACAAAAAGAGTGTTTCAAACCTGCTCTATGAAAGGGACTGTTCAACACTGTGACTTCAATTGAAACATCCCAATGAAGCTTCTGAGAATGCTTCTGTCTAGAGTTTATATGAAGACAATCCCGTTTCCAACGAAATCCTCAAAGCTATCAAAATATCCTCTTGCAGATTTTACGAAAAGAGTGTTTCAAAACTGCTCTATCAAAAGAAAGCTTCAACACTGTTAGTTGAGGGCGCACATCACAAATAAGATTCTGAGAATGCTTCTGTCTAGTTTTCAGGAGAAGATATATCCTTTTTCACCATAGGCCTGAAAGCGCTCCAAATGTCCACATCCAGATACTATAAAAAGAGTGTTTCAAACCTGCTCTATGAAAGGGAATGTTCAACTCTCTGACTTGAATGCAAACATCACAAACAAGATTCTGGGAATGCTGCTGTCTGCTTTTTATATGTAATCCCGTTTCCAACGAAATCCTCAAAGCTATCCAAATATCCTCTTGCAGATATTACAAAAAGAGTTTTTCAAAACTGCTCTATCAAAAGAAAGGTTCAACACTGTTAGTTGAGGGCGCACATCACAAATAAGTTTCTGAGAATGCTTCTGTCTAGTTTTCAGGGGAAGATATTTCCTTTTTCACCATAGGCCTGAAAGCGCTCCAAATGTCCACATCCAGATACTACAAAAAGAGTGTTTCAAACCTGCTCTATGAAAGGGAATGTTCAACTCTGTGACTTGAATGCAAACATCACAAAGAAGTTTCTGGGAATGCTGCTTTCTGCTTTTTATATGTAATCCCGTTTCCAACGAAATCCTGAAAACTAGACAAATATCCACTTGCAGATTCCACAAAAAGAGTGTTTCAAAACTGCTCTATCAAAAGAATGCTACAACACTGTTTGTTGAGGGCGCACATCACAAATAAGTTTCTGAGAATGCTTCTCTCTAGTTTTCAGGGGAAGATATTTCCTTTTAAACCATAGGCCTGAAAGCGCTCCAAATGTCCACATCCAGATACTACAAAAAGAGTGTTTCAAACCTGCTCTATGAAAGGGACTGTTCAACACTGTGACTTCAATTGAAACATCCCAATGAAGCTTCTGAGAATGCTTCTGTCTAGAGTTTATATGAAGACAATCCCGTTTCCAACGAAATCCTCAAAGCTATCCAAATATCCTCTTGCAGATTTTACAAAAAGAGTGTTTCAAAACTGCTCTATGAAAAGAAAGCTTCAACACTGTTAGTTGAGGGCGCACATCACAAATAAGATTCTGAGAATGCTTCTGTGTAGTTTTCAGGGGAAGATATTTCCTTTTTCACCATAGGCCTGAAAGCGCTCCAAATGTCCACATCCAGATACTACAAAAAGAGTGTTTCAAACCTGCTCTATGAAAGGGAATGTTCAACTCTGTGACTTGAATGCGAACATCACAAAGAAGTTACTGGGAATGCTGCTGTCTGCTTTTTATATGTAATCCCGTTTCCAACGAAATCCTCAAAGCTAGACAAATATCCACTTGCAGATTCCACAAAAAGAGTGTTTCAAAACTGCTCTCTCAAAAGAAAGGTTCAACTCTGTTAGCTGAGTAGATACATCATGAAAAAGTTTCTGACATTGCTTCTATCTAGCTTTTATTGGAAGATATTTCCTTTTTCACCGCAGTCCTGAGAGCGCTCCAAATGTCCACTTCCAGATACTACAAAAAGAGTGTTTCAAACCTGCTCTATGAAAGGGAATGTTCAACTCTGTGACTTGAATGCAAACATCACAAAGAAGTTTCTGGGAATGCTGCTGTCTGCTTTTTATATGTAATCCCGTTTCCAACGAAATCCTCAAAGCTAGACAAATATCCACTTGCAGATTCCACAAAAAGAGTGTTGCAAAACTGCTCTCTCAAAAGAAAGGTTCAACTCTGTTAGCTGAGTAGATACATCATGAAAAAGTTTCTGACATTGCTTCTATCTAGCTTTTATTGGAAGATATTTCCTTTTTCACCGCAGTCCTGAGAGCGCTCCAAATGTCCACTTCCAGATACTACAAAAAGAGTGTTTCAAACCTGCTCTATGAAAGGGACTGTTCAACACTGTGACTTCAATTGAAACATCCCAATGAAGCTTCTGAGAATGCTTCTGTCTAGAGTTTATATGAAGACAATCCCGTTTCCAACGAAATCCTCAAAGCTATCCAAATATCCTCTTGCAGATTTTACAAAAGGAGTGTTTCAAAACTGCTCTATCAAAAGAAAGCTTCAACACTGTTAGTTGAGGGCGCACATCACAAATAAGATTCTGAGAATGCTTCTGTCTAGTTTTCAGGGGAAGATATTTCCTTTTTCACCATAGGCCTGAAAGCGCTCCAAATGTCCACATCCAGATACTACAAAAAGAGTGTTTCAAACCTGCTCTATGAAAGGGAATGTTCAACTCTGTGACTTGAATGCAAACATCACAAAGAAGTTTCTGGGAATGCTGCTGTCTGCTTTTTATATGTAATCCCGTTTCCAACGAAATCCTCAAAGCTAGACAAATATCCACTTGCAGATTCCACAAAAAGAGTGTTTCAAAACTGCTCTATCAAAAGAATGCTTCAACACTGTTAGTTGAGGGCGCACATCACAAATAAGTTTCTGAGAATGCTTCTGTCTAGTTTTCAGGGGAAGATATTTCCTTTTAAACCATAGGCCTGAAAGCGCTCCAAATGTCCACATCCAGATACTACAAAAAGAGTGTTTCAAACCTGCTCTATGAAAGGGACTGTTCAACACTGTGACTTCAATTGAAACATCCCAATGACGCTTCTGAGAATGCTTCTGTCTAGAGTTTATATGAAGACAATCCCGTTTCCAACGAAATCCTCAAAGCTATCCAAATATCCTCTTTCAGATTTTACAAAAAGAGTGTTTCAAAACTGCTCTATCAAAAGAAAGCTTCAACACTGTTAGTTGAGGGCGCACATTACAAATAAGATTCTGAGAATTCTTCTCTCTAGTTTTCAGGGGAAGATATTTCCTTTTTCACCATAGGCCTGAAAGCGCTCCAAATGTCCACATCCAGATACTACAAAAAGAGTGTTTCAAACCTGCTCTATGAAAGGGAATGTTCAACTCTGTGACTTGAATGCAAACATCACAAAGAAGTTACTGGGAATGCTGCTGTCTGCTTTTTATATGTAATCCCGTTTCCAACGAAATCCTAAAAGCTAGACAAATATACACTTGCAGATTCCACAAAAAGAGTGTTTCAAAACTGCTCTCTCAAAAGAAAGGTTCAACTCTGTTAGCTGAGTAGATACATCATGAAAAAGTTTCTGACATTGCTTCTATCTAGCTTTTATTGGAAGATATTTCCTTTATCACCGTATTCCTGAGATCTCTCCAAATGTCCACTTCCAGATACTACAAAAAGAGTGTTTTAAACCTGCTCTATGAAAGGGACTGTTCAACACTGTGACTTCAATTGAAACATCCCAATGAAGCTTCTGAGAATGCTTCTGTCTAGAGTTTATATGAAGACAATCCCGTTTCCAACGAAATCCTCAAAGCTATCAAAATATCCTCTTGCAGATTTTACGAAAAGAGTGTTTCAAAACTGCTCTATCAAAAGAAAGCTTCAACACTGTTAGTTGAGGGCGCACATCACAAATAAGATTCTGAGAATGCTTCTGTCTAGTTTTCAGGGGAAGATATTTCCTTTTTCACCATAGGCCTGAAAGCGCTCCAAATGTCCACATCCAGATACTATAAAAAGAGTGTTTCAAACCTGCTCTCTGAAAGGGAATGTTCAACTCTGTGACTTGAATGCAAACATCACAAACAAGATTCTGGGAATGCTGCTGTCTGCTTTTTATATGTAATCCCGTTTCCAACGAAATCCTCAAAGCTATCCAAATATCCTCTTGCAGATATTACAAAAAGAGTGTTTCAAAACTGCTCTATCAAAAGAAAGGTTCAACACTGTTAGTTGAGGGCGCACATCACAAATAAGTTTCTGAGAATGCTTCTGTCTAGTTTTCAGGTGAAGATATTTCCTTTTTCACCATAGGCCTGAAAGCGCTGCAAATGTCCACATCCAGATACTACAAAAAGAGTGTTTCAAACCTGCTCTATGAAAGGGAATGTTCAACTCTGTGACTTGAATGCAAACATCACAAAGAAGTTACTGGGAATGCTGCTGTCTGCTTTTTATATGTAATCCCGTTTCCAACGAAATCCTCAAAGCTAGACAAATATCCACTTGCAGATTCCACAAAAAGAGTGTTTCAAAACTGCTCTCTCAAAGGAAAGGTTCAACTCTGTTAGCTGAGTAGATACATCATGAAAAAGTTTCTGACATTGCTTCTATGTAGCTTTTATTGGAAGATATTTCCTTTTTAACCATAGTCCTGAGAGCGCTCCAAATGTCCACTTCCAGATACTACAAAAAGAGTGTTTCAAACCTGTTCTATGAAAGGAACTGTTCAACACTGTGACTTCAATTGAAACATCCCAATGAAGCTTCTGAGAATGCTTCTGTCTAGAGTTTATATGAAGACAATCCCGTTTCCAACGAAATCCTCAAAGCTATCCAAATATCCTCTTGCAGATTTTACAAAAAGAGTGTTTCAAAACTGCTCTATCAAAAGAAAGCTTCAACACTGTTAGTTGAGGGTGCACATCACAAATAAGATTCTGAGAATGCTTCTGTATAGTTTTCAGGGGAAGATATTTCCTTTTTCACCATAGGCCTGAAAGCGCTCCAAATGTCCACATCCAGATACTACAAAAAGAGTGTTTCAAACCTGCTCTATGAAAGGGAATGTTCAACTCTGTGACTTGAATGCAAACTTCACAAAGAAGTTTCTGGGAATGCTGCTGTCTGCTTTTTATATGTAATCCCGTTTCCAACGAAATCCTCAAAGCTAGAAAAATATCCACTTGCAGATTCCACAAAAAGAGTGTTTCAAAACTGCTCTATCAAAAGAATGCTTCAACACTGTTAGTTGAGGGCGCACATCACAAATAAGTTTCTGAGAATGCTTCTGTCTAGTTTTCAGGGGAAGATATTTCCTTTTAAACCATAGGCCTGAAAGCGCTCCAAATGTCCACATCCAGATACTACAAAAAGAGTGTTTCAAACCTGCTCTATGAAAGGGACTGTTCAACACTGTGACTTCAATTGAAACATCCCAATGACGCTTCTGAGAATGCTTCTGTCTAGAGTTTATATGAAGACAATCCCGTTTCCAACGAAATCCTCAAAGCTATCAAAATATCCTCTTGCCGATTTTACGAAAAGAGTGTTTCAAAACTGCTCTATCAAAAGAAAGCTTCAACAGTGTTAGTTGAGGGCGCACATCACAAATAAGATTCTGAGAATGCTTCTGTCTAGTTTTCAGGAGAAGATATTTCCTTTTTCACCATAGGCCTCAAAGCGCTCCAAATGTCCACATCCAGATACTATAAAAAGAGTGTTTCAAACCTGCTCTCTGAAAGGGAATGTTCAACTCTGTGACTTGAATGCAAACATCACAAAGAAGTTTCTGGGAATGCTGCTGTCTGCTTTTTATATGTAATCCCGTTTCCAACGAAATCCTCAAAGCTAGACAAATATCCACTTGCAGATTCCACAAAAAGAGTGTTTCAAAACTGCTCTCTCAAAGGAAGGTTCAACTCTGTTAGCTGAGTAGATACATCATGAAAAAGTTTCTGACATTGCTTCTATCTAGCTTTTATTGGAAGATATTTCCTTTTTCACCGCAATCCTGAGAGAGCTCCAAATGTCCACATCCAGATACTACAAAAAGAGTGTTTCAAACCTGCTCTATGAAAGGGACTGTTCAACACTGTGACTTCAACTGAAACATCCCAAAGAAGCTTCTGAGAATGCTTCTGTCTAGAGTTTATATGAAGACAATCCCGTTTCCAACGAAATCCTCAAAGCTATCCAAATATCCTCTTGCAGATTTTACAAAAAGAGTGTTTCAAAACTGCTCTATCAAAAGAAAGCTTCAACACTGTTAGTTGAGGGCGCACATCACAAATAAGATTCTGAGAATGCTTCTGTCTAGTTTTTAGGAGAAGATATTTCCTTTTTCACCACAGGCCTGAAAGCGCTCCAAATGTCCACATCCAGATACTACAAAAAGAGTGTTTCAAACCTGCTCTATGAAAGGGAATGTTCAACTCTGTGACTTGAATGCAAACATCACAAAGTAGTTACTGGGAATGCTGCTGTCTGCTTTTTATATGTAATCCCGTTTCCAACGAAATCCTCAAAGCTAGACAAATATCCACTTGCAGATTCCACAAAAAGAGTGTTTCAAAACTGCTCTATCAAAAGAAAGGTTCAACACTGTTAGCTGAGTAGATACGTCATGAAAAAGTTTCTCACATTGCTTCTATGTAGCTTTTATTGGAAGATATTTCCTTTTTCACCGTCGTCCTGAGAGCGCTCCAAATGTCCACTTCCAGATACTACAAAAAGAGTGTTTCAAACCTGCTCTATGAAAGGAACTGTTCAACACTGTGACTTCAATTGAAACATCCCAATGAAGCTTCTGAGAATGCTTCTGTCTAGAGTTTATATGAAGACAATCCCGTTTCCAACGAAATCCTCAAAGCTATCCAAATATCCTCTTGCAGATATTACAAAAAGAGTGTTTCAAAACTGCTCTATCAAAAGAAAAGTTCAACACTGTTAGTTGAGGGCGCACATTACAAATAAGTTTCTGAGAATGCTTCTGTCTAGTTTTCAGGGGAAGATATTTCCTTTTTCACCATAGGCCTGAAAGCGCTCCAAATGTCCACATACAGATACTACAAAAAGAGTGTTTCAAAACTGCTCTATGAAAGGGAATGTTCAACTCTGTGACTTGAAGGCAAACATCACAAAGAAGTTTCTGGGAATGCTGCTGTCTGCTTTTTATATGTAATCCCGTTTCCAACGAAATCCTCAAAGCTAGACAAATATCCACTTGCAGAGTCCACAAAAAGAGTGTTTCAAAACTGCTCTCGCAAAAGAAAGGTTCAACTCTGTTAGCTGAGTAGATACATCATGAAAAAGTTTCTGACATTGCTTCTATCTAGCTTTTATTGGAAGATATTTCCTTTATCACCGTATTCCTGAGATCTCTCCAAATGTCCACTTCCAGATACTACAAAAAGAGTGTTTCAAACCTGCTCTATGAAAGGGACTGTTCAACACTGTGACTTCAATTGAAACATCCCAATGAAGCTTCTGAGAATGCTTCTGTCTAGAGTTTATATGAAGACAATCCCGTTTCCAAGGAAATCCTCAAAGCTATCCAAATATCCTCTTGCAGATTTTACAAAAAGAGTGTTTCAAAACTGCTCTATCAAAAGAAATCTTCAACACTGTTAGTTGAGGGCGCACATCACAAATAAGATTCTGAGAATGCTTCTGTCTAGTTTTCGGGGGAAGATATTGCCTTTTTCACCATAGGCCTGAACGCGCTCCAAATGTCCACATCCAGATACTACAAAAAGAGTGTTTCAAACCTGCTCTATGAAAGGGAATGTTCAACTCTGTGACTTGAATGCAAACTTCACAAAGAAGTTTCTGGGAATGCTGTTGTCTGCTTTTTATATGTAATCCCGTTTCCAACGAAATCCTCAAAGCTAGACAAATATCCACTTGCAGATTCCACAAAAAGAGTGTTTCAAAACTGCTCTCTCAAAAGAAAGGTTCAACTCTGTTAGCTGAGTAGATACATCATGAAAAATTTTCTGACATTGCTTCTATCTAGCTTTTATAGGAAGATATTTCCTTTGTCACCGTATTCCTCGGATCTCTCCAAATGTCCACTTCCAGATACTACAAAAAGAGTGTTTCAAACCTGCTCTATGAAAGGGACTGTTCAACACTGTGACTTCAATTGAAACATCCCAATGAAGCTTCTGAGAATGCTTCTGTCTAGAGTTTATATGAAGACAATCCCGTTTCCAACGAAATCCTCAAAGCTATCCAAATATCCTCTTGCAGATATTACAAAAAGAGTGTTTCAAATCTGCTCTATCAAAAGAAAGGTTCAACACTGTTAGTTGAGGGCGCACATCACAAATAATTTTCTGAGAATGCTTCTGTCTAGTTTTCAGGGGAAGATATTTCCTTTTTCACCATAAGCCTGAAAGCGCTCCAAATGTCCACATCCAGATACTACAAAAAGAGTGTTTCAAACCTGCTCTATGAAAGGGAATGTTCAACTCTGTGACTTGAATGCAAACATCACAAAGTAGTTACTGGGAATGCTGCTGTCTGCTTTTTATATGTAATCCCGTTTCCAACGAAATCCTCAAAGCTAGACAAATATCCACTTGCAGATTCCACAAAAAGAGTGTTTCAAAACTGCTCTATCAAAAGAAAGGTTCAACACTGTTAGCTGAGTAGATACGTCATGAAAAAGTTTCTCACATTGCTTCTATGTAGCTTTTATTGGAAGATATTTCCTTTTTCACCGTCGTCCTGAGAGCGCTCCAAATGTCCACTTCCAGATACTACAAAAAGAGTGTTTCAAACCTGCTCTATGAAAGGAACTGTTCAACACTGTGACTTCAATTGAAACATCCCAATGAAGCTTCTGAGAATGCTTCTGTCTAGAGTTTATATGAAGACAATCCCGTTTCCAACGAAATCCTCAAAGCTATCCAAATATCCTCTTGCAGATATTACAAAAAGAGTGTTTCAAAACTGCTCTATCAAAAGAAAAGTTCAACACTGTTAGTTGAGGGCGCACATTACAAATAAGTTTCTGAGAATGCTTCTGTCTAGTTTTCAGGGGAAGATATTTCCTTTTTCACCATAGGCCTGAAAGCGCTCCAAATGTCCACATACAGATACTACAAAAAGAGTGTTTCAAAACTGCTCTATGAAAGGGAATGTTCAACTCTGTGACTTGAAGGCAAACATCACAAAGAAGTTTCTGGGAATGCTGCTGTCTGCTTTTTATATGTAATCCCGTTTCCAACGAAATCCTCAAAGCTAGACAAATATCCACTTGCAGATTCCACAAAAAGAGTGTTTCAAAACTGCTCTCGCAAAAGAAAGGTTCAACTCTGTTAGCTGAGTAGATACATCATGAAAAAGTTTCTGACATTGCTTCTATCTAGCTTTTATTGGAAGATATTTCCTTTATCACCGTATTCCTGAGATCTCTCCAAATGTCCACTTCCAGATACTACAAAAAGAGTGTTTCAAACCTGCTCTATGAAAGGGACTGTTCAACACTGTGACTTCAATTGAAACATCCCAATGAAGCTTCTGAGAATGCTTCTGTCTAGAGTTTATATGAAGACAATCCCGTTTCCAACGAAATCCTCAAAGCTATCCAAATATCCTCTTGCAGATTTTACAAAAAGAGTGTTTCAAAACTGCTCTATCAAAAGAAAGCTTCAACACTGTTAGTTGAGGGCGCACATCACAAATAAGATTCTGAGAATGCTTCTGTCTAGTTTTCAGTGGAAGATATTTCCTTTTTCACCATAGGCCTGAAAGCGCTCCAAATGTCCACATCCAGATACTACAAAAAGAGTGTTTCAAACCTCCTCCATGAAAGGGAATGTTCAACTCTGTGACTTGAATGCAAACATCACAAAGAAGTTACTGGGAATGCTGCTGTCTGCTTTTTATATGTAATCCCGTTTCCAACGAAATCCTCAAAGCTAGACAAATATCCACTTGCAGATTCCACAAAAAGAGTGTTTCAAAACTGCTCTCTCAAAGGAAAGGTTCAACTCTGTTAGCTGAGTAGATACATCATGAAAAAGTTTCTGACATTGCTTCTATCTAGCTTTTATTGGAAGATATTTCCTTTATCACCGTATTCCTGAGATCTCTCCAAATGTCCACTTCCAGATACTACAAAAAGAGTGTTTCAAACCTGCTCTATGAAAGGGACTGTTCAACACTGTGACTTCAATTGAAACATCCCAATGAAGCTTCTGAGAATGCTTCTGTCTAGAGTTTATATGAAGACAATCCCGTTTCCAACGAAATCCTCAAAGCTATCCAAATATCCTCTTGCAGATATTACAAAAAGAGTGTTTCAAAACTGCTCTATGAAAAGAAAGGTTCAACACTCTTAGTTGATGGCGCACGTCACAAATAAGTTTCTGAGAATGCTTCTGTCTAGTTTTCAGGGGAAGATATTTCCTTTTTCACCATAGGCCTGAAAGCGCTCCAAATCTCCACATCCAGATACTACAAAAAGAGTGTTTCAAACCTGCTCTATGAAAGGGAATGTTCAACTCTGTGACTTGAATGCAAACATCACAAAGAAGTTACTGGGAATGCTGCTGTCTGCTTTTTATATGTAATCACGTTTCCAACGAAATCCTCAAAGCTAGACAAATATCCACTTGCAGATTCCACAAAAAGAGTGTTTCAAAACTGCTCTCTCAAAAGAAAGGTTCAACTCTGTTAGCTGAGTAGATACATCATGAAAAAGTTTCTGACATTGCTTCTATGTAGCTTTTATTGGAAGATATTTCCTTTTTCACCGTATTCCTGAGAGCGCTCCAAATGTCCACTTCCAGATACTACAAAAAGACTGTTCCAAACCTGCTCCATGAAAGGAACTGTTCAACACTGTGACTTCAATTGAAACATCCCAATGAAGGTTCTGAGAATGCTTCTGTCTAGAGTTTATATGAAGACAATCCCGTTTCCAACGAAATCCTCAAAGCTATCGAAATATCCTCTTGCAGATATTACAAAAAGAGTGTTTCAAAACTGCTCTATCAAAAGAAAGCTTCAACACTGTTAGTTGAGGGCGCACATCACAAATAAGATTCTGAGAATGCTTCTGTCTAGTTTTCAGGGGAAGATATTTCCTTTTACACCATTGGCCTGAAAGCGCTCCAAATGTCCACATCCAGATACTACAAAAAGAGTGTTTCAAACCTGCTCTATGAAAGGGAATGTTCAACTCTGTGACTTGAATGCAAACATCACAAAGAAGTTTCTGGGAATGCTGCTGTCTGCTTTTTATATGTAATCCGTTTCCAACGAAATCCTCAAAACTAGACAAATATCCACTTGCAGATTCCACAAAAAGAGGGTTTCAAAACTGCTCTCTCAAAAGAAAGGTTCAACTCTGTTAGCTGAGTAGACACATCATGAAAAAGTTTCTGACATTGCTTCTATCTAGCTTTTATTGGAAGATATTTCCTTTTTCACCGTAGTCCTGAGATCTCTCCAAATGTCCACTTCCAGATACTACAAAAAGAGTGTTTCAAACCTGCTCTATGAAAGGGACTGTTCAACACTGTGACTTCAATTGAAACATCCCAATGAAGCTTCTGAGAATGCTTCTGTCTAGAGTTTATATGAAGACAATCCCGTTTCCAATGAAATCCTCAAAGCTATCCAAATATCCTCTTGCAGATTTTACAAAAAGAGTGTTTCAAAACTGCTCTATCAAAAGAAAGCTTCAACACTGTTAGTTGAGGGCGCACATCACAAATAAGATTCTGAGAATGCTTCTGTCTAGTTTTCAGGGGAAGATATTTCCTTTTTCACCATAGGCCTGAAAGCGCTCCAAATGTGCACATACAGATACTACAAAAAGAGTGTTTCAAACCTGCTCTATGAAAGGGAAAGTTCAACTCTGTGACTTGAATGCAAACATCACAAAGAAGTTTCTGGGAATGCTGCTGTCTGCTTTTTATATGTAATCCCGTTTCCAACGAAATCCTCAAAGCTAGACAAATATCCACTTGCAGATTCCACAAAAAGAGTGTTTCAAAACTGCTCTATCAAAAGAAAGCTTCAACACTGTTAGTTGAGGGCGCACATCACAAATAAGTTTCTGAGAATGCTTCTGTCTAGTTTTCAGGGGAAGATATTTCCTTTTTCACCATAGGCCTGAAAGCGCTCCAAATGTCCACATCCAGATACTACAAAAAGAGTGTTTCAAACCTGCTCTATGAAAGGGACTGTTCAACACTGTGACTTCAATTGAAACATCCCAATGAGGCTTCTGAGAATGCTTCTGTCTAGAGTTTATATGAAGACAATCCCGTTTCCAACGAAATCCTCAAAGCTATCCAAATATACTCTTGCAGATTTTACAAAAAGAGTGTTTCAAAACTGCTCTATCAAAAGAAAACTTCAACACTGTTAGTTGAGGGCGCACATCACAAATAAGATTCTGAGAATGCTTCTGTCTAGTTTTCAGGGGAAGATATTTCCTTTTTCACCATAGGCCTGAAAGCACTCCAAATGTCCACATCCAGATACTACAAAAAGAGTGTTTCAAACCTGCTCTATGAAAGGGAATGTTCAACTCTGTGACTTGAATGCAAACATCACAAAGAAGTTACTGGGAATACTGCTGTCTGCTTTTTATATGTAATCCCGTTTCCAACGAAATCCTCAAAGCTAGACAAATATCCACTTGCAGATTTCACAAAAAGAGTGTTTCAAAACTGCTCTCTCAAAGGAAGGTTCGACTCTGTTAGCTGAGTAGATACATCATGAAAAAGTTTCTGACATTGCTTCTATCTAGCTTTTATTGGAAGATATTTCCTTTTTCACCGCAGTCCTGAGAGCGCTCCAAATGTCCACTTCCAGATACTACAAAAAGAGTGTTTCAAACCTGCTCTATGAAAGGGACTGTTCAACACTGTGACTTCAATTGAAACATCCCAATGAAGCTTCTGAGAATGCTTCTGTCTAGAGTTTATATGAAGACAATCCCGTTTCCAACGAAATCCTCAAAGCTATCCAAATATCCTCTTGCAGATTTTACAAAAAGAGTGTTTCAAAACTGCGCTATCAAAAGAAAGCTTCAACACTGTTAGTTGAGGGCGCACATCACAAATAAATTTCTGAGAATGCTTCTGTCTAATTTTCAGGGGAAGATATTTCCTTTTTCACCATAGGCCTGAAAGCGCTCCAAATGTCCACATCCAGATACTACAAAAAGAGTGTTTCAAACCTGCTCTATGAAAGGGAATGTTCAACTCTGTGACTTGAATGCAAACATCACAAAGAAGTTTCTGGGAATGCTGCTGTCTGCTTTTTATATGTAATCCCGTTTCCAACGATATCCTCAAAGCTAGACAAATATCCACTTGCAGATTCCACAAAAAGAGTGTTTCAAAACTGCTCTCTCAAAAGAAGGTTCAACTCTGTTAGCTGAGTAGATACATCATGAGAAATTTTCTGACATTGCTTCTATCTAGCTTTTATTGGAAGATATTTCCTTTGTCACCTTATTCCTGAGATCTCTCCAAATGTCCACTTCCAGATACTACAAAAAGAGTGTTTCAAACCTGCTCTATGAAAGGGACTGTTCAACACTGTGACTTCAATTGAAACATCCCAATGAAGCTTCTGAGAATGCTTCTGTCTAGAGTTTATATGAAGTCAATCCCGTTTCCAACGAAATCCTCAAAGCTATCCAAATATCCTCTTGCAGATATTACAAAAAGAGTGTTTCAAAACTGCTCTATCAAAAGAAAGGTTCAACACTGTTAGTTGAGGGCGCACATCACAAATAAGTTTCTGAGAATGCTTCTGTCTAGTTTTCAGGGGAAGATATTTCCTTTTTCACCATAGGCCTGAAAGCGCTCCAAATGTCCACATCCAGATACTACAAAAAGAGTGTTTCAAACCTGCTCTATGAAAGGGAATGTTCAACTCTGTGACTTGAATGCAAACATCACAAAGAAGTTACTGGGAATGCTGCTGTCTGCTTTTTATGTGTAATCTCGTTTCCAACGAAATAATCAAAGCTAGACAAATATCCACTTGCAGATTCCACAAAAAGAGTGTTTCAAAACTGCTCTATCAAAAGAAAGCTTCAACACTGTTAGCTGAGGGCGCACATCACAAATAAGTTTCTGAGAATGCTTCTGTCTAGTTTTCAGGGGAAGATATTTCCTTTTTCACCATAGGCCTTAAAGCGCTCCAAATGTCCACATCCAGATACTACAAAAAGAGTGTTTCAAACCTGCTCTATGAAAGGGACTGTTCAACACTGTGACTTCAATTGAAACATCCCAATGAAGCTTCTGAGAATGCTTCTGTCTAGAGTTTATATGAAGACAATCCCGTTTCCAACGAAATCCTCAAAGCTATCCAAATATCCTCTTGCAGATTTTACAAAAAGAGTGTTTCAAAACTGCGCTATCAAAAGAAAGCTTCAACACTGTTAGTTGAGGGCGCACATCACAAATAAATTTCTGAGAATGCTTCTGTCTAATTTTCAGGGGAAGATATTTCCTTTTTCACCATAGGCCTGAAAGCGCTCCAAATGTCCACATACAGATACTACAAAAAGAGTGTTTCAAACCTGCTCTATGAAAGGGAATGTTCAACTCTGTGACTTGAATGCAAACATCACAAAGAAGTTTCTGGGAATGCTGCTGTCTGCTTTTTATATGTAATCCCGTTTCCAACGAAATCCTCAAAGCTAGACAAATATCCACTTGCAGATTCCACAAAAAGAGTGTTTCAAAACTGCTCTCTCAAAAGAAAGGTTCAAATCTGTTAGCTGAGTAGATACATCATGAAAAAGTTTCTGACATTGCTTCTATGTAGCCTTTATTGGAAGATATTTCCTTTTTCACCGTAGTCCTGAGAGCGCTCCAAATGTCCACTTCCAGATACTACAAAAAGAGTGTTTCAAACCTGCTCTATGAAAGGGACTGTTCAACACTGTGACTTCAATTGAAACATCCCAATGAAGCTTCTGAGAATGCTTCTGTCTAGAGTTTATATGAAGACAATCCTGTTTCCAACGAAATCCTCAAAGCTATCCAAATATCCTCTTGCAGATTTTACAAAAAGAGTGTTTCAAAACTGCTCTATCAAAAGAAAGCTTCAACACTGTTAGTTGAGGGCGCACATCACAAATAAGATTCTGAGAATGCTTCTGTCTAGTTTTCAGGGGAAGATATTTCCTTTTTCACCATAGGCCTGAAAGCGCTCCAAATGTCCACATCCAGATACTACAAAAAGAGTGTTTCAAACCTGCTCTATGAAAGGGAATGTTCAACTCTGTGACTTGAATGCAAACATCACAAAGAAGTTACTGGGAATGCTGCTGTCTGCTTTTTATATGTAATCCCGTTTCCAACGATATCCTCAAAGCTAGACAAATATCCACTTGCAGATTCCACAAAAAGAGTGTTTCAAAACTGCTCTCTCAAAACAAAGGTTCAACTCTGTTAGCTGAGTAGATACATCATGAGAAATTTTCTGACATTGCTTCTATCTAGCTTTTATTGGAAGATATTTCCTTTGTCACCTTATTCCTGAGATCTCTCCAAATGTCCACTTCCAGATACTACAAAAAGAGTGTTTCAAACCTGCTCTATGAAAGGGACTGTTCAACACTGTGACTTCAATTGAAACATCCCAATGAAGCTTCTGAGAATGCTTCTGTCTAGAGTTTATATGAAGTCAATCCCGTTTCCAACGAAATCCTCAAAGCTATCCAAATATCCTCTTGCAGATATTACAAAAAGAGTGTTTCAAAACTGCTCTATCAAAAGAAAGCTTCAACACTGTTAGTTGAGGGCGCACATCACAAATAAGTTTCTGAGAATGCTTCTGTCTAGTTTTCAGGGGAAGATATTTCCTTTTTCACCATAGGCCTGAAAGCGCTCCAAATGTCCACATCCAGATACTACAAAAAGAGTGTTTCAAACCTGCTCTATGAAAGGGAATGTTCAACTCTGTGACTTGAATGCAAACATCACAAAGAAGTTACTGGGAATGCTGCTGTCTGCTTTTTATGTGTAATCCCGTTTCCAACGAAATAATCAAAGCTAGACAAATATCCACTTGCAGATTCCACAAAAAGAGTGTTTCAAAACTGCTCTATCAAAAGAAAGCTTCAACACTGTTAGCTGAGGGCGCACATCACAAATAAGTTTCTGAGAATGCTTCTGTCTAGTTTTCAGGGGAAGATATTTCCTTTTTCACCATAGGCCTTAAAGCGCTCCAAATGTCCACATCCAGATACTACAAAAAGAGTGTTTCAAACCTGCTCTATGAAAGGGACTGTTCAACACTGTGACTTCAATTGAAACATCCCAATGAAGCTTCTGAGAATGCTTCTGTCTAGAGTTTATATGAAGACAATCCCGTTTCCAACGAAATCCTCAAAGCTATCCAAATATCCTCTTGCAGATATTACAAAAAGAGTGTTTCAAAACTGCTCTATCAAAAGAAAAGTTCAACACTGTTAGTTGAGGGCGCACATTACAAATAAGTTTCTGAGAATGCTTCTGTCTAGTTTTCAGGGGAAGATATTTCCTTTTTCACCATAGGCCTGAAAGCGCTCCAAATGTCCACATACAGATACTACAAAAAGAGTGTTTCAAAACTGCTCTATGAAAGGGAATGTTCAACTCTGTGACTTGAAGGCAAACATCACAAAGAAGTTTCTGGGAATGCTGCTGTCTGCTTTTTATATGTAATCCCGTTTCCAACGAAATCCTCAAAGCTAGACAAATATCCACTTGCAGATTCCACAAAAAGAGTGTTTCAAAACTGCTCTCGCAAAAGAAAGGTTCAACTCTGTTAGCTGAGTAGATACATCATGAAAAAGTTTCTGACATTGCTTCTATCTAGCTTTTATTGGAAGATATTTCCTTTATCACCGTATTCCTGAGATCTCTCCAAATGTCCACTTCCAGATACTACAAAAAGAGTGTTTCAAACCTGCTCTATGAAAGGGACTGTTCAACACTGTGACTTCAATTGAAACATCCCAATGAAGCTTCTGAGAATGCTTCTGTCTAGAGTTTATATGAAGACAATCCCGTTTCCAACGAAATCCTCAAAGCTATCCAAATATCCTCTTGCAGATATTACAAAAAGAGTGTTTCAAAACTGCTCTATCAAAAGAAAGGTTCAACACTGTTAGTTGAGGGCGCACATCACAAATAAGATTCTGAGAATGCTTCTGTCTAGTTTTCAGGGGAAGATATTTCCTTTTTCACCATAGGCCTGAAAGCGCTCCAAATGTCCACATACAGATACTACAAAAAGAGTGTTTCAAACCTGCTCTATGAAAGGGAATGTTCAACTCTGTGACTTGAATGCAAACATCACAAAGAAGTTCTGGGAATGCTGCTGTCTGCTTTTTAAATGTAATCCCGTTTCCAACGAAATCCTCAAAGCTAGACAAATATCCACTTGCAGATTCCACAAAAAGAGTGTTTCAAAACTGCTCTCTCAAAAGAAAGGTTCAACTCTGTTAGCTGAGTAGATACATCATGAAAAAGTTGCTGACATTGCTTCTATCTAGCTTTTATTGGAAGATATTTCCTTTTTCACCGTAGTCCTGAGAACGCTCCAAATGTCCACTTCCAGATACTACAAAAAGAGTGTTTCAAAACTGCTCTCTCAAAAGAAAGGTTCAACTCTGTTAGCTGAGTAGATACATCATGAAAAAGTTTCTGACATTGCCTCTATCTAGCTTTTATTGGAAGATATTTCCTTTATCACCGTATTCCTGATATCTCTCCAAATGTCCACTTCCAGATACTACAAAAAGAGTTTTTCAAACCTGCTGTATGACAGGGACTGTTCAACACTGTGACTTCAATTGAAACATCCCAATGAAGCTTCTGAGAATGCTTCTGTGTAGAGTTTATATGAAGACAATCTCGTTTCCAACGAAATCCTCAAAGCTATCAAAATATCCTCTTGCAGATTTTACGAAAAGAGTGTTTCAAAACTGCTCTATCAAAAGAAAGCTTCAACACTGTTAGTTGAGGGCGCACATCACAAATAAGATTCTGAGAATGCTTCTGTCTAGTTTTCAGGAGAAGATATTTCCTTTTTCACCATAGGCCTGAAAGCGCTCCAAATGTCCACATCCAGATACTACAAAAAGAGTGTTTCAAACCTGCTCTATGAAAGGGAATGTTCAACTCTGTGACTTGAATGCAAACATCACAAAGAAGTTACTGGGAATGCTGCTGTCTGCTTTTTATATGTAATCCCGTTTCCAACGAAATCCTCAAAGCTAGACAAATATCCACTTGCAGATTCCACAAAAAGAGTGTTTCAAAACTGCTCTCTCAAAGGAAAGTTTCAACTCTGTTAGCTGAGTAGATACGTCATGAAAAAGTTTCTGACATTGCTTCAATCTAGCTTTTATTGGAAGATATTTCCTTTATCACCTTAGTCCTGAGAGCGCTCCAAATGTCCACTTCCAGATACTACAAAAAGAGTGTTTCAAACCTGCTCTATGAAAGGAACTGTTCAACACTGTGACTTCAATTGAAACATCCCATTGAAGCTTCTGAGAATGCTTCTGTCTAGAGTTTATATGAAGACAATCCCGTTTCCAACGAAATCCTCAAAGCTATCCAAATATCCTCTTGCAGATATTACAAAAAGAGTGTTTCAAAACTGCTCTATCAAAAGAAAGGTTCAACACTGTTAGTTGAGGGCGCACATCACAAATAAGTTTCTGAGAATGCTTCTGTCTAGTTTTCAGGGGAAGATATTTCCTTTTTCACCATAGGCCTGAAAGCGCTCCAAATGTCCACATACAGATTCTACAAAAAGAGTGTTTCAAACCTGCTCTATGAAAGGGAATGTTCAACTCTGTGACTTGAATGCAAACATCACAAAGAAGTTTCTGGGAATGCTGCTGTCTGCTTTTTATATGTAATCCCGTTTCCAACGAAATCCTCAAATGTAGACAAATATCCACTTGCAGATTCCACAAAAAGAGTGTTTCAAAACTGCTCTCTCAAAAGAAAGGTTCAACTCTGTTAGCTGAGTGGATACATCATGAAAAAGTTTCTGACATTGGTTCTATCTAGCTTTTATTGGAAGATATTTCCTTTTTCACCGCAGTCCTGAGAGCGCTCCAAATGTCCACTTCCAGATACTACAAAAAGAGTGTTTCAAAACTGCTCTCTCAAAAGAAAGGTTCAACTCTGTTAGCTGAGTAGATACATCATGAAAAAGTTTCTGACATTGCTTCTATCTAGCTTTTATTGGAAGATATTTCCTTTATCACCGTATTCCTGAGATCTCTCCAAATGTCCAGTTCCAGATACTACAAAAAGAGTGTTTCAAACCTGCTCTATGACAGGGACTGTTCAACACTGTGACTTCAATTGAAACATCCCAATGAAGCTTCTGAGAATGCTTCTGTCTAGAGTTTATATGAAGACAATCCCGTTTCCAACGAAATCCTCAAATCTATCAAAATATCCTCTTGCAGATTTTACGAAAAGAGTGTTTCAAAACTGCTCTATCAAAAGAAAGCTTCAACACTGTTAGTTGAGGGAGCACATCACAAATAAGATTCTGAGAATGCTTCTGTCTAGTTTTCAGGAGAAGATATTTCCTTTTTCACCATAGGCCTGAAAGCGCTCCAAATGTCCACATCCAGATACTATAAAAAGAGTGTTTCAAACCTGCTCTCTGAAAGGGAATGTTCAACTCTGTGAGTTGAATGCAAACATCACAAACAAGATTCTGGGAATGCTGCTGTCTGCTTTTTATATGTAATCCCGTTTCCAACGAAATCCTCAAAGCTAGAAAAATATCCACTTGCAGATTCCACAAAAAGAGTGTTTCAAAACTGCTCTATCAAAAGAAAGCTTCAACACTGTTAGTTGAGGGCGCACATCACAAATAAGTTTCTGAGAATGCTTCTGTCTAGTTTTCAGGGGAAGATATTTCCTTTTTCACCTTAGGCCTGAAAGCGCTCCAAATGTCCACATCCAGATACTACAAAAAGAGTGTTTCAATCCTGCTCTATGAAAGGGAATGTTCAACTCTGTGACTTGAATGCAAACATCACAAAGAAGTTTCTGGGAATGCTGCTGTCTGCTTTTTATATGTAATCCCGTTTCCAACGAAATCCTCAAAGCTAGACAAATATCCACTTGCAGATTCCACAAAAAGAGTGTTTCAAAACTGCTCTCTCAAAGGAAGGTTCAACTCTGTTAGCTGAGTAGATACATCATGAAAAAGTTTCTGACATTGCTTCTATCTAGCTTTTATTGGAAGATATTTCCTTTTTCACCGCAGTCCTGAGAGCGCTCCAAATGTCCACTTCCAGATACTACAAAAAGAGTGTTTCAAACCTGCTCTATGAAAGGGACTGTTCAACACTGTGACTTCAATTGAAACATCCCAATGAAGCTTCTGAGAATGCTTCTGTCTAGAGTTTATATGAAGACAATCCCGTTTCCAACGAAATCCTCAAAGCTATCCAAATATCCTCTTGCAGATATTACAAAAAGAGTGTTTCAAAACTGCTCTATCAAAAGAAAGCTTCAACACTGTTAGTTGAGGGCGCACATCACAAATAAGTTTCTGAGAATGCTTCTGTCTAGTTTTCAGGGGAAGATATTTCCTTTTTCACCATAGGCCTGAAAGCGGTCCAAATGTCCACATCCAGATACTACAAAAAGAGTGTTTCAAACCTGCTCTATGAAAGGGAATGTTCAACTCTGTGACTTGAATGCAAACATCACAAAGAAGTTTCTGGGAATGCTGCTGTCTGCTTTTTATATGTAATCCCGTTTCCAACGAAATCCTCAAAGCTAGACAAATATCCACTTGCAGATTCCACAAAAAGAGTGTTTCAAAACTGCTCTATCAAAAGAAAGCTTCAACACTGTTAGTTGAGGGCGCACATCACAAATAAGATTCTGAGAATGCTTCTGTCTAGTTTTCAGGGGAAGATATTTCCTTTTTCACCATAGGCCTGAAAGCGCTCCAAATGTCCACATCCAGATACTACAAAAAGAGTGTTTCAAACCTGCTCTATGAAAGGGACTGTTCAACACTGTGACTTCAATTGAAACATCCCAATGAGGCTTCTGAGAATGCTTCTGTCTAGAGTTTATATGAAGACAATCCCGTTTCCAACGAAATCCTCAAAGCTATCCAAATATACTCTTGCAGATTTTACAAAAAGAGTGTTTCAAAACTGCTCTATCAAAAGAAAACTTCAACACTGTTAGTTGAGGGCGCACATCACAAATAAGATTCTGAGAATGCTTCTGTCTAGTTTTCAGGGGAAGATATTTCCTTTTTCACCATAGGCCTGAAAGCACTCCAAATGTCCACATCCAGATACTACAAAAAGAGTGTTTCAAACCTGCTCTATGAAAGGGAATGTTCAACTCTGTGACTTGAATGCAAACATCACAAAGAAGTTACTGGGAATACTGCTGTCTGCTTTTTATATGTAATCCCGTTTCCAACGAAATCCTCAAAGCTAGACAAATATCCACTTGCAGATTTCACAAAAAGAGTGTTTCAAAACTGCTCTCTCAAAGGAAGGTTCAACTCTGTTAGCTGAGTAGATACATCATGAAAAAGTTTCTGACATTGCTTCTATCTAGCTTTTATTGGAAGATATTTCCTTTTTCACCGCAGTCCTGAGAGCGCTCCAAATGTCCACTTCCAGATACTACAAAAAGAGTGTTTCAAACCTGCTCTATGAAAGGGACTGTTCAACACTGTGACTTCAATTGAAACATCCCAATGAAGCTTCTGAGAATGCTTCTGTCTAGAGTTTATATGAAGACAATCCCGTTTCCAACGAAATCCTCAAAGCTATCCAAATATCCTCTTGCAGATTTTACAAAAAGAGTGTTTCAAAACTGCGCTATCAAAAGAAAGCTTCAACACTGTTAGTTGAGGGCGCACATCACAAATAAATTTCTGAGAATGCTTCTGTCTAATTTTCAGGGGAAGATATTTCCTTTTTCACCATAGGCCTGAAAGCGCTCCAAATGTCCACATACAGATACTACAAAAAGAGTGTTTCAAACCTGCTCTATGAAAGGGAATGTTCAACTCTGTGACTTGAATGCAAACATCACAAAGAAGTTTCTGGGAATGCTGCTGTCTGCTTTTTATATGTAATCCCGTTTCCAACGAAATCCTCAAAGCTAGACAAATATCCACTTGCAGATTCCACAAAAAGAGTGTTTCAAAACTGCTCTCTCAAAAGAAAGGTTCAAATCTGTTAGCTGAGTAGATACATCATGAAAAAGTTTCTGACATTGCTTCTATGTAGCCTTTATTGGAAGATATTTCCTTTTTCACTGTAGTCCTGAGAGCGCTCCAAATGTCCACTTCCAGATACTACAAAAAGAGTGTTTCAAACCTGCTCTATGAAAGGGACTGTTCAACACTGTGACTTCAATTGAAACATCCCAATGAAGCTTCTGAGAATGCTTCTGTCTAGAGTTTATATGAAGACAATCCTGTTTCCAACGAAATCCTCAAAGCTATCCAAATATCCTCTTGCAGATTTTACAAAAAGGGTGTTTCAAAACTGCTCTATCAAAAGAAAGCTTCAACACTGTTAGTTGAGGGCGCACATCACAAATAAGATTCTGAGAATGCTTCTGTCTAGTTTTCAGGGGAAGATATTTCCTTTTTCACCATAGGCCTGAAAGCGCTCCAAATGTCCACATCCAGATACTACAAAAAGAGTGTTTCAAACCTGCTCTATGAAAGGGAATGTTCAACTCTGTGACTTGAATGCAAACATCACAAAGAAGTTACTGGGAATGCTGCTGTCTGCTTTTTATATGTAATCCCGTTTCCAACGATATCCTCAAAGCTAGACAAATATCCACTTGCAGATTCCACAAAAAGAGTGTTTCAAAACTGCTCTCTCAAAAGAAAGGTTCAACTCTGTTAGCTGAGTAGATACATCATGAGAAATTTTCTGACATTGCTTCTATCTAGCTTTTATTGGAAGATATTTCCTTTGTCACCTTATTCCTGAGATCTCTCCAAATGTCCACTTCCAGATACTACAAAAAGAGTGTTTCAAACCTGCTCTATGAAAGGGACTGTTCAACACTGTGACTTCAATTGAAACATCCCAATGAAGCTTCTGAGAATGCTTCTGTCTAGAGTTTATATGAAGTCAATCCCGTTTCCAACGAAATCCTCAAAGCTATCCAAATATCCTCTTGCAGATATTACAAAAAGAGTGTTTCAAAACTGCTCTATCAAAAGAAAGGTTCAACACTGTTAGTTGAGGGCGCACATCACAAATAAGTTTCTGAGAATGCTTCTGTCTAGTTTTCAGGGGAAGATATTTCCTTTTTCACCATAGGCCTGAAAGCGCTCCAAATGTCCACATCCAGATACTACAAAAAGAGTGTTTCAAACCTGCTCTATGAAAGGGAATGTTCAACTCTGTGACTTGAATGCAAACATCACAAAGAAGTTAATGGGAATGCTGCTGTCTGCTTTTTATGTGTAATCCCGTTTCCAACGAAATCCTCAAAGCTAGACAAATATCCACTTGCAGATTCCACAAAAAGAGTGTTTCAAAACTGCTCTCTCAAAGGAAAGTTTCAACTCTGTTAGCTGAGTAGATACATCATGAAAAAGTTTCTGACATTGCTTCTATCTAGCTTTTATTGGAAGATATTTCCTTTATCACCGTAGTCCTGAGAGCGCTGCAAATGTCCACTTCCAGATACTACAAAAAGAGTGTTTCAAACCTGCTCTATGAAAGGAACTGTTCAACACTGTGACTTCAATTGAAACATCCCAATGAAGCTTCTGAGAATGCTTCTGTCTAGAGTTTATATGAAGACAATCCCCTTTCCAAAGAAATCCTCAAATCTATCCAAATATCCTCTTGCAGATATTACAAAAAGAGTGTTTCAAAACTGCTCTATCAAAAGAAAGGTTCAACACTGTTAGTTGAGGGCGCACATCACAAATAAGTTTCTGAGAATGCTTCTGTCTAGTTTTCAGGGGAAGATATTTCCTTTTTCACCATAGGACTGAAAGCGCTCCAAATGTCCACATACAGATACTACAAAAAGAGTGTTTCAAACCTGCTCTATGAAAGGGAATGTTCAACTCTGTGACTTGAATGCAAACATCACAAAGAAGTTACTGGGAATGCTGCTGTCTGCTTTTTATATGTAATCCCGTTTCCAACGAAATCCTCAAAGCTAGACAAATATCCACTTGCAGATTCCACAAAAAGAGTGTTTCAAAACTGCTCTCTCAAAGGAAAGTTTCAACTCTGTTAGCTGAGTAGATACGTCATGAAAAAGTTTCTGACATTGCTTCAATCTAGCTTTTATTGGAAGATATATCCTTTATCACCTTAGTCCTGAGAGCGCTCCAAATGTCCACTTCCAGATACTACAAAAAGAGTGTTTCAAACCTGCTCTATGAAAGGAACTCTTCAACACTGTGACTTCAATTGAAACATCCCATTGAAGCTTCTGAGAATGCTTCTGTCTAGAGTTTATATGAAGACAATCCCGTTTCCAACGAAATCCTCAAAGCTATCCAAATATCCTCTTGCAGATATTACAAAAAGAGTGTTTCAAAACTGCTCTATCAAAAGAAAGGTTCAACACTGTTAGTTGAGGGCGCACATCACAAATAAGTTTCTGAGAATGCTTCTGTCTAGTTTTCAGGGGAAGATATTTCCTTTTTCACCATAGGCCTGAAAGCGCTCCAAATGTCCACATACAGATACTACAAAAAGAGTGTTTCAAACCTGCTCTATGAAAGGGAATGTTCAACTCTGTGACTTGAATGCAAACATCACAAAGAAGTTCTGGGAATGCTGCTGTCTGCTTTTTAAATGTAATCCCGTTTCCAACGAAATCCTCAAAGCTAGACAAATATCCACTTGCAGATTCCACAAAAAGAGTGTTTCAAAACTGCTCTCTCAAAAGAAAGGTTCAACTCTGTTAGCTGAGTAGATACATCATGAAAAAGTTGCTGACATTGCTTCTATCTAGCTTTTATTGGAAGATATTTCCTTTTTCACCGCAGTCCTGAGAACGCTCCAAATGTCCACTTCCAGATACTACAAAAAGAGTGTTTCAAAACTGCTCTCTCAAAAGAAAGGTTCAACTCTGTTAGCTGAGTGGATACATCATGAAAAAGTTTCTGACATTGCTTCTATCTAGCTTTTATTGGAAGATATTTCCTTTATCACCGTATTCCTGAGATCTCTCCAAATGTCCACTTCCAGATACTACAAAAAGAGTTTTTCAAACCTGCTGTATGACAGGGACTGTTCAACACTGTGACTTCAATTGAAACATCCCAATGAAGCTTCTGAGAATGCTTCTGTGTAGAGTTTATATGAAGACAATCTCGTTTCCAACGAAATCCTCAAAGCTATCAAAATATCCTCTTGCAGATTTTACGAAAAGAGTGTTTCAAAACTGCTCTATCAAAAGAAAGCTTCAACACTGTTAGTTGAGGGCGCACATCACAAATAAGATTCTGAGAATGCTTCTGTCTAGTTTTCAGGAGAAGATATTTCCTTTTTCACCATAGGCCTGAAAGCGCTCCAAATGTCCACATCCAGATACTACAAAAAGAGTGTTTCAAACCTGCTCTATGAAAGGGAATGTTCAACTCTGTGACTTGAATGCAAACATCACAAAGAAGTTACTGGGAATGCTGCTGTCTGCTTTTTATATGTAATCCCGTTTCCAACGAAATCCTCAAAGCTAGACAAATATCCACTTGCAGATTCCACAAAAAGAGTGTTTCAAAACTGCTCTCTCAAAGGAAAGTTTCAACTCTGTTAGCTGAGTAGATACGTCATGAAAAAGTTTCTGACATTGCTTCAATCTAGCTTTTATTGGAAGATATTTCCTTTATCACCTTAGTCCTGAGAGCGCTCCAAATGTCCACTTCCAGATACTACAAAAAGAGTGTTTCAAACCTGCTCTATGAAAGGAACTGTTCAACACTGTGACTTCAATTGAAACATCCCATTGAAGCTTCTGAGAATGCTTCTGTCTAGAGTTTATATGAAGACAATCCCGTTTCCAACGAAATCCTCAAAGCTATCAAAATATCCTCTTGCAGATATTACAAAAAGAGTGTTTCAAAACTGCTCTATCAAAAGAAAGGTTCAACACTGTTAGTTGAGGGCGCACATCACAAATAAGTTTCTGAGAATGCTTCTGTCTAGTTTTCAGGGGAAGATATTTCCTTTTTCACCATAGGCCTGAAAGCGCTCCAAATGTCCACATACAGATTCTACAAAAAGAGTGTTTCAAACCTGCTCTATGAAAGGGAATGTTCAACTCTGTGACTTGAATGCAAACATCACAAAGAAGTTTCTGGGAATGCTGCTGTCTGCTTTTTATATGTAATCCCGTTTCCAACGAAATCCTCAAATGTAGACAAATATCCACTTGCAGATTCCACAAAAAGAGTGTTTCAAAACTGCTCTCTCAAAAGAAAGGTTCAACTCTGTTAGCTGAGTGGATACATCATGAAAAAGTTTCTGACATTGGTTCTATCTAGCTTTTATTGGAAGATATTTCCTTTTTCACCGCAGTCCTGAGAGCGCTCCAAATGTCCACTTCCAGATACTACAAAAAGAGTGTTTCAAAACTGCTCTCTCAAAAGAAAGGTTCAACTCTGTTAGCTGAGTAGATACATCATGAAAAAGTTTCTGACATTGCTTCTATCTAGCTTTTATTGGAAGATATTTCCTTTATCACCGTATTCCTGAGATCTCTCCAAATGTCCAGTTCCAGATACTACAAAAAGAGTGTTTCAAACCTGCTCTATGACAGGGACTGTTCAACACTGTGACTTCAATTGAAACATCCCAATGAAGCTTCTGAGAATGCTTCTGTCTAGAGTTTATATGAAGACAATCCCGTTTCCAACGAAATCCTCAAATCTATCAAAATATCCTCTTGCAGATTTTACGAAAAGAGTGTTTCAAAACTGCTCTATCAAAAGAAAGCTTCAACACTGTTAGTTGAGGGAGCACATCACAAATAAGATTCTGAGAATGCTTCTGTCTAGTTTTCAGGAGAAGATATTTCCTTTTTCACCATAGGCCTGAAAGCGCTCCAAATGTCCACATCCAGATACTATAAAAAGAGTGTTTCAAACCTGCTCTCTGAAAGGGAATGTTCAACTCTGTGAGTTGAATGCAAACATCACAAACAAGATTCTGGGAATGCTGCTGTCTGCTTTTTATATGTAATCCCGTTTCCAACGAAATCCTCAAAGCTAGAAAAATATCCACTTGCAGATTCCACAAAAAGAGTGTTTCAAAACTGCTCTATCAAAAGAAAGCTTCAACACTGTTAGTTGAGGGCGCACATCACAAATAAGTTTCTGAGAATGCTTCTGTCTAGTTTTCAGGGGAAGATATTTCCTTTTTCACCTTAGGCCTGAAAGCGCTCCAAATGTCCACATCCAGATACTACAAAAAGAGTGTTTCAATCCTGCTCTATGAAAGGGAATGTTCAACTCTGTGACTTGAATGCAAACATCACAAAGAAGTTTCTGGGAATGCTGCTGTCTGCTTTTTATATGTAATCCCGTTTCCAACGAAATCCTCAAAGCTAGACAAATATCCACTTGCAGATTCCACAAAAAGAGTGTTTCAAAACTGCTCTCTCAAAGGAAGGTTCAACTCTGTTAGCTGAGTAGATACATCATGAAAAAGTTTCTGACATTGCTTCTATGTAGCCTTTATTGGAAGATATTTCCTTTTTCACCGCAGTCCTGAGAGCGCTCCAAATGTCCACTTCCAGATACTACAAAAAGAGTGTTTCAAACCTGCTCTATGAAAGGGACTGTTCAACACTGTGACTTCAATTGAAACATCCCAATGAAGCTTCTGAGAATGCTTCTGTCTAGAGTTTATATGAAGACAATCCTGTTTCCAACGAAATCCTCAAAGCTATCCAAATATCCTCTTGCAGATATTACAAAAAGAGTGTTTCAAAACGGCTCTATCAAAAGAAAGGTTCAACACTGTTAGTTGAGGGCGCACATCACAAATAAGTTTCTGAGAATGCTTCTGTCTAGTTTTCAGGGGAAGATATTTCCTTTTTCACCATAGGCCTGAAAGCGCTCCAAATGTACACATACAGATTCTACAAAAAGAGTGTTTCAAACCTGCTCTATGAAAGGGAATGTTCAACTCTGTGACTTAAATGCAAACATCACAAAGAAGTTTCTGGGAATGCTGCTGTCTGCTTTTTATATGTAATCCCGTTTCCAACGAAATCCTCAAAGCTAGACAAATATCCACTTGCAGATTCCACAAAAAGAGTGTTTCAAAACTGCTCTCTCAAAAGAAAGGTCCAACTCTGTTAGCTGAGTAGATATATCATGAAAAAGTTTGTGGCATTGCTTCTATCTAGCTTTTATTGGAAGATATTTCCTTTTTCACCGCAGTCCTGAGAGCGTTCCAAATGTCCACTTCCAGATACTACAAAAAGAGTGTTTCAAAACTGCTCTCTCAAAAGAAAGGTTCAACTCTGTTAGCTGAGTAGATACATCATGAAAAAGTTTCTGACATTGCTTCTAACTAGCTTTTATTGGAAGATATTTCCTTTATCACCGTATTCCTGAGATCTCTCCAAATGTCCACTTCCAGATACTACAAAAAGAGTGTTTCAAACCTGCTCTATGACAGGGACTGTTCAACACTGTGACTTCAATTGAAACATCCCAATGAAGCTTCTGAGAATGCTTCTGTCTAGAGTTTATATGAAGACAATCCCGTTTCTAACGAAATCCTCAAAGCTATCAAAATATCCTCTTGCAGATTTTACGAAAAGAGTGTTTCAAAACTGCTCTATCAAAAGAAAGCTTCAACACTGTTAGTTGAGGGCGCACATCACAAACAAGATTCTGAGAATGCTTCTGTCTAGTTTTCAGGAGAAGATATTTCCTTTTTCACCATAGGCCTGAAAGCGCTGCAAATGTCCACATCCAGATACTACAAAAAGAGTGTTTCAAACCTGCTCTCTGAAAGGGAATGTTCAACTCTGTGACTTGAATGCAAACATCACAAACAAGATTCCGGGAATGCTGCTGTCTGCTTTTTATATGTAATCCCGTTTCCAACGAAATCCTCAAAGCTAGAAAAATATCCACTTGCAGATTCCCCAAAAAGAGTGTTTCAAAACTGCTCTATCAAAAGAAAGCTTCAACACTGTTAGTTGAGGGCGCACATCACAAATAAGTTTCTGAGAATGCTTCTGTCTAGTTTTCAGGGGAAGATATTTCCTTTTTCACCATAGGCCTGAAAGCGCTCCAAATGTCCACATCCAGATACTACAAAAAGAGTGTTTCAAACCTGCTCTATGAAAGGGACTGTTCAACACTGTGACTTCAATTGAAACATCCCAATGTAGCTTCTGAGAATGCTTCTGTCTAGAGTTTATATGAAGACAATCCCGTTTCCAATGAAATCCTCAAAGCTATCCAAATATCCTCTTGCAGATTTTACAAAAAGAGTGTTTCAAAACTGCTCTATCAAAAGAAAGCTTCAACACTGTTAGTTGAGGGCGCACATCACAAATAAGATTCTGAGAATGCTTCTGTCTAGTTTTCAGGGGAAGATATTTCCTTTTTCACCATAGGCCTGAAAGCGCTCCAAATGTCCACATCCAGATACTACAAAAAGAGTGTTTCAAACCTGCTCTATGAAAGGGAATGTTCAACTCGGTGACTTGAATGCAAACATCACAAAGAAGTTTCTGGGAATGCTGCTGTCTGCTTTTTATATGTAATCCCGTTTCCAACGAAATCCTCAATGCTAGACAAATATCCACTTGCAGATTCCACAAAAAGAGTGTTTCAAAACTGTTCTCTCAAAAGAAAGGTTCAACTCTGTTAGCTGAGTAGATACATCATGAAAAAGTTTCTGACATTGCTTCTATCTAGCTTTTATTGGAAGATATTTCCTTTATCACCGTATTCCTGAGATCTCTCCAAATGTCCATTTCCAGATACTACAAAAAGAGTGTTTCAAACCTGCTCTATGAAAGGGACTGTTCAACACTGTGACTTCAATTGAAACATCCCAATGAAGCTTCTGAGAATGCTTCTGTCTAGAGTTTATATGAAGACAATCCCGTTTCCAACGAAATCCTCAAAGCTATCCAAGTATCCTCTTGCAGATTTTACAAAAAGAGTGTTTCAAAACTGCTCTATCAAAAGAAAGCTTCAACACTGTTAGTTGAGGGCGCACATCACAAATAAGATTCTGAGAATGCTTCTGTCTAGTTTTCAGGGGAAGATATTTCCTTTTTCACCATAGGCCTGAAAGCGCTCCAAATGTCCACATCCAGATACTACAAAAAGAGTGTTTCAAACCTGCTCTATGAAAGGGAATGTTCAACTCTGTGACTTGAATGCAAACATCACAAAGAAGTTTCTGGGAATGCTGCTGTCTGCTTTCTATATGTAATCCCGTTTCCAACGAAATCCTCAAAGCTAGACAAATATCCACTTGCAGATTCCACAAAAAGAGTGTTTCCAAACTGCTCTCTCAAAAGAAAGGTTCAACTCTGTTAGCTGAGTAGATACATCATGAAAAAGTTTCTGATATTGCTTCTATGTAGCTTTTATTGGAAGATATTTCCTTTTTCACCGTAGTCCTGAGAGCGCTCCAAATGTCCACTTCCAGATACTACAAAAAGAGTGTTTCAAACCTGCTCTATGAAAGGGACTGTTCAACACTGTGACTTCAATTGAAACATCCCAATGAAGCTTCTGAGAATGCTTCTGTCTAGAGTTTATATGGAGACAATCCCGTTTCCAATGAAATCCTCAAAGCTATCCAAATATCCTCTTGCAGATTTTACAAAAAGAGTGTTTCAAAACTGCTCTTTCAAAAGAAAGCTTCAACACTGTTAGTTGAGGGCGCACATCACAAATAAGATTCTGAGAATGCTTCTGTCTAGTTTTCAGGGGAAGATATTTCCTTTTTCACCATAGGACTGAAAGCGCTCCAAATGTCCACATCCAGATACTACAAAAAGAGTGTTTCAAACCTGCTCTATGAAAGGGAATGTTCAACTCGGTGACTTGAATGCAAACATCACAAAGAAGTTTCTGGGAATGCTGCTGTCTGCTTTTTATATGTAATCCCGTTTCCAACGAAATCCTCAAAGCTAGACAAATATCCACTTGCAGATTCCACAAAAAGAGTGTTTCAAAACTGTTCTCTCAAAAGAAAGGTTCAACTCTGTTAGCTGAGTAGATACATCATGAAAAAGTTTCTGACATTGCTTCTATCTAGCTTTTATTGGAAGATATTTCCTTTATCACCGTATTCCTGAGATCTCTCCAAATGTCCACTTCCAGATACTACAAAAAGAGTGTTTCAAACCTGCTCTATGAAAGGGACTGTTCAACACTGTGACTTCAATTGAAACATCCCAATGAAGCTTCTGAGAATGCTTCTGTCTAGAGTTTATATGAAGACAATCCTGTTTCCAACGAAATCCTCAAAGCTATCCAAGTATCCTCTTGCAGATTTTACAAAAAGAGTGTTTCAAAACTGCTCTATCAAAAGAAAGCTTCAACACTGTTAGTTGAGGGCGCACATCACAAATAAGATTCTGAGAATGCTTCTGTCTAGTTTTCAGGGGAAGATATTTCCTTTTTCACCATAGGCCTGAAAGCGCTCCAAATGTCCACATCCAGATACTACAAAAAGAGTGTTTCAAACCTGCTCTATGAAAGGGAATGTTCAACTCTGTGACTTGAATGCAAACATCACAAAGAAGATTCTGGGAATGCTGCTGTCTGCTTTTTATATGTAATCCCGTTTCCAACGAAATCCTCAAAGCTAGACAAATATCCACTTGCAGATTCCACAAAAAGAGTGTTTCAAAACTGCTCTATCAAAAGAAAGCTTCAACATTGTTAGTTGAGGGCGCACATCACAAATAAGTTTCTGAGAATGCTTCTGTCTAGTTTTCAGGGGAAGATATTTCCTTTTTCACCTTAGGCCTGAAAGCGCTGCAAATGTCCACATCCAGTTACTACAAAAAGAGTGTTTCAAACCTGCTCTATGAAAGGGAATGTTCAACTCTGTGACTTGAATGCAAACATCACAAAGAAGTTACTGGGAATGCTGCTGTCTGCTTTTTATATGTAATCCCGTTTCCAACGAAATCCTCAAAGCTAGACAAATATCCACTTCCAGATTCCACAAAAAGAGTTTTTCAAAACTGCTCTCTCAAAAGAAAGGTTCAACTCTGTTAGCTGAGTAGATACATCATGAAAAAGTTTCTGACATTGCTTCTATCTAGCTTTTATTGGAAGATACTTCCTTTTTCACCGTAGTCGTGAGAGCGCTCCAAATGTCCACTTCCAGATACTACAAAAAGAGTGTTTCAAACCTGCTCTATGAAAGGGACTGTTCAACACTGTGACTTCAATTGAAACATCCCAATGAAGCTTCTGAGAATGCTTCTGTCTAGAGTTTATATGAAGACAATCCCGTTTCCAACGAAATCCTCAAAGCTATCCAAATATCCTCTTGCAGATTTTACAAAAAGAGTGTTTCAAAACTGCTCTATCAAAAGAAAGCTTCAACACTGTTAGTTGAGGGCGCACATCACAAATAAGATTCTGAGAATGCTTCTGTCTAGTTTTCAGGGGAAGATATTTCCTTTTTCACCATAGGCCTGAAAGCGCTCCAAATGTCCACATCCAGATACTACAAAAAGAGTGTTTCAAACCTGCTCTATGAAAGGGAATGTTCAACTCTGTGAGTTGAATGCAAACATCACAAAGAAGTTACTGGGAATGCTGCTGTCTGCTTTTTATATGTAATCCCGTTTCCAACGAAATCCTCAAAGCTAGACAAATATCCACTTCCAGATTCCACAAAAAGAGTGTTTCAAATCTGCTCTCTCAAAAGAAAGGTTCAACTCTGTTAGCTGAGTAGATACATCATGAAAAAGTTTCTGACATTGCTTCTATCTAGCTTTTATTGGAAGATATTTCCTTTTTCACCGTAGTCCTGAGATCTCTCCAAATGTCCACTTCCAGATACTACAAAAAGAGTGTTTCAAACCTGCTCTATGAAAGGGACTGTTCAACACTGTGACTTCAATTGAAACATCCCAATGAAGCTTCTGAGAATGCTTCTGTCTAGAGTTTATATGAAGACAGTCCCGTTTCCAATGAAATCCTCAAAGCTATCCAAATATCCTCTTGCAGATTTTACAAAAAGTGTGTTTCAAAACTGCTCTATCAAAAGAAAGCTTCAACACTGTTAGTTGAGGGCGCACATCACAAATAAGATTCTGAGAATGCTTCTGTCTAGTTTTCAGGAGAAGATATTTCCTTTTTCACCATAGGCCTGAAAGCGCTCCAAATGTCCACATCCAGATTCTATAAAAAGAGTGTTTCAAACCTGCTCTCTGAAAGGGAATGTTCAACTCTGTGACTTGAATGCAAACATCACAAACAAGATTCTGGGAATGCTGCTGTCTGCTTTTTATATGTAATCCCGTTTCCAACGAAATCCTCAAAGCTAGACAAATATCCACTTGCAGATTCCACAAAAAGAGTGTTTCAAAACTGCTCTCTCAAAGGAAAGGTTCAACTGTGTTAGCTGAGTAGATACATCATGAAAAAGTTTCTGACATTGCTTCTATGTAGCTTTTATTAGAAGATATTTCCTTTTTCACCGTAGTCCTGAGAGCGCTCCAAATGTCCACTTCCAGATACTACAAAAAGAGTGATTCAAACGTGCTCTATGAAAGGGAGTGTTCAACACTGTGACTTCAATTGAAACATCCCAATGAAGCTTCTGAGAATGCTTCTGTCTAGAGTTTATATGAAGACAATCCCGTTTCCAACGAAATCCTCAAAGCTATCCAAATATCCTCTTGCAGATTTTACAAAAAGAGTGTTTCAAAACTGCTCTATCAAAAGAAAGCTTCAACACTGTTAGTTGAGGGCGCACATCACAAATAAGTTTCTGAGAATGCTTCTGTCTAGTTTTCAGGGGAAGATATTTCCTTTTTCACCATAGGCCTGAAAGCGCTCCAAATGTCCACATCCAGATACTACAAAAAGAGTGTTTCAAACCTGCTCTATGAAAGGGAATGTTCAACTCTGTGACTTGAATGCAAACATCACAAAGAAGTTTCTGGGAATGCTGCTGTCTGCTTTTTATATGTAATCCCGTTTCCAACGAAATCCTCAAAGCTAGACAAGTATCCAGTTGCAGATTCCACAAAAAGAGTGTTTCAAAACTGCTCTCTCAAAAGAAAGGTTCAACTCTGTTAGCTTAGTAGATACATCATGAAAAAGTTTCTGACATTGCTTCTATCTAGCTTTTATTGGAAGATATTTCCTTTTTCACCGCAGTCCTGAGAGCGCTCCAAATGTCCACTTCCAGATACTACAAAAAGAGTGTTTCAAACCTGCTCTATGAAAGGGACTGTTCAACACTGTGACTTCAATTGAAACATCCGAATGAAGCTTCTGAGAATGCTTCTGTCTAGAGTTTATATGAAGACAATCCCGTTTCCAATGAAATCCTCAAAGCTATCCAAATATCCTGTTGCAGATTTTACAAAAAGAGTGTTTCAAAACTGCTCTATCAAAAGAAAGCTTCAACACTGTTAGTTGAGGGCGCACATCACAAATAAGATTCTGAGAATGCTTCTGTCTAGTTTTCAGGGGAAGATATTTCCTTTTTCACCATAGGCCTGAAAGCGCTCCAAATGTCCACATACAGATACTACAAAAATAGTGTTTCAAACCTGCTCTATGAAAGGGAATGTTCAACTCTGTGACTTGAATGCAAACTTCACAAAGAAGTTTCTGGGAATGCTGCTGTCTGTTTTTTATATGTAATCCCGTTTCCAACGAAATCCTCAAAGCTAGACAAATATCCACTTGCAGATTCCACAAAAAGAGTGTTTCAAAACTGCTCTCTCAAAGGAAGGTTCAACTCTGTTAGCTGAGTAGATACATCATGAAAAAGTTTCTGACATTGCTTCTATGTAGCTTTTATTGGAAGATATTTCCTTTTTCACCGTAGTCCTGAGGGCGCTCCAAATGTCCACTTCCAGATACTACAAAAAGAGTGTTTCAAACCTGCTCTATGAAAGGAACTGTTCAACACTGTGACTTCAATTGAAACATCCCAATGAAGCTTCTGAGAATGCTTCTGTCTAGAGTTTATATGAAGACAATCCCGTTTCCAACGAAATCCTCAAAGCTATCCAAATATCCTCTTGCAGATTTTACAAAAAGAGTGTTTCAAAACTGCTCTATCAAAAGAAAGCTTCAACACTGTTAGTTGAGGGCGCACATCACAAATAAGTTTCTGAGAATGCTTCTGTCTACTTTTCAGGGGAAGATATTTCCTTTTTCACCATAGGCCTGAAAGCGCTCCAAATGTCCACATCCAGATACTACAAAAAGAGTGTTTCAAACCTGCTCTATGAAAGGGAATGTGCAACTCTGTGACTTGAATGCAAACATCACAAAGAAGTTTCTAGGAATGCTGCTGCCTGCTTTTTATATGTAATCCCGTTTCCAACGAAATCCTCAAAGCTAGACAAGTATCCACTTGCAGATTCCACAAAAAGAGTGTTTCAAAACTGCTCTCTCAAAAGAAAGGTTCAACTCTGTTAGCTGAGTAGATACATCATGAAAAAGTTTCTGACATTGCTTCCATCTAGCTTTTATTGGAAGATATTTCCTTTTTCACCGCAGTCCTGAGAGCGCTCCAAATGTCCACTTCAAGATACTACAAAAAGAGTGTTTCAAACCTGCTCTATGAAAGGGACTGTTCAACACTGTGAATTCAATTGAAACATCCCAATGAAGCTTCTGAGAATGCTTCTGTCTAGAGTTTATATGAAGACAATCCCGTTACCAATTAAATCCTCAAAGCTATCCAAATATCCTCTTGCAGATTTTACAAAAAGAGTGTTTCAAAACTGCTCTATCAAAAGAAAGCTTCAACACTGTTAGTTGAGGGCGCACATCACAAATAAGATTCTGAGAATGCTTCTGTCTAGTTTTCAGGGGAAGATATTTCCTTTTTCACCATAGGCCTGAAAACGCTCCAAATGTCCACATCGAGATACTACAAAAAGAGTGTTTCAAACCTGCTCTCTGAAAGGGAATGTTCAACTCTGTGACTTGAATGCAAACATCACAAAGAAGTTACTGGGAATGCTGCTGTCTGCTTTTTATATGTAATCCCGTTTCCAACGAAATCCTCAAAGCTAGACAAATATCCACTTGCAGATTCCACAAAATGAGTGTTTCAAAACTGCTCTCTCAAAAGAAAGGTTCAACTCTGTTAGCTGAGTAGACACATCATGAAAAAGTTTCTGACATTGCTTCTATCTAGCTTTTATTGGAAGATATTTCCTTTTTCACCGTAGTCCTGAGATCTCTCCAAATGTCCACTTCCAGATACTACAAAAAGAGTGTTTCAAACCTGCTCTATGAAAGGGACTGTTCAACACTGTGACTTCAATTGAAACATCCCAATGAAGCTTCTGAGAATGCTTCTGTCTAGAGTTATTATGAAGACAGTCCCGTTTCCAATGAAATCCTCAAAGCTATCCAAATATCCTCTTGCAGATTTTACAAAAAGTGTGTTTCAAAACTGATCTATCAAAAGAAAGCTTCAACACTGTTAGTTGAGGGCGCACATCACAAATAAGATTCTGAGAATGCTTCTGTCTAGTTTTCAGAGGAAGATATTTCCTTTTTCACCATAGGCCTGAAAGCGCTCCAAATGTCCACATCCAGATTCTATAAAAAGAGTGTTTCAAACCTGCTCTCTGAAAGGGAATGTTCAACTCTGTGACTTGAATGCAAACATCACAAAGAAGATTCTGGGAATGCTGCTGTCTGCTTTTTATATGTAATCCCGTTTCCAACGAAATCCTCAAAGCTAGACAAATATCCACTTGCAGATTCCACAAAAAGAGTGTTTCAAAACTGCTCTCTCAAAGGAAAGGTTCAACTCTGTTAGCTGAGTAGATACATCATGAAAAAGTTTCTGACATTGCTTCTATGTAGCTTTTATTAGAAGATATTTCCTTTTTCACCGTAGTCCTGAGAGCGCTCCAAATGTCCTCTTCCAGATACTACAAAAAGAGTGTTTCAAACCTGCTCTATGAAAGGGACTGTTCAACACTGTGACTTCAATTGAAACATCCCAATGAAGCTTCTGAGAATGCTTCTGTCTAGAGTTTATATGAAGACAATCCCGTTTCCAATGAAATCCTCAAAGCTATCCAAATATCCTCTTGCAGATTTTACAAAAAGAGTGTTTCAAAACTGCTCTATCAAAAGAAAGCTTCAACACTGTTAGTTGAGGGCGCACATCACAAATAAGATTCTGAGAATGCTTCTGTCTAGTTTTCAGGGGAAGATATTTCCTTTTTCACCATAGGCCTGAAAGCGCTCCAAATGTCCACATCCAGATACTACAAAAAGAGTGTTTCAAACCTGCTCTATGAAAGGGAACGTTCAACTCTGTGACTTGAATGCAACATCACAAAGAAGTTTCTGGGAATGCTGCTGTCTGCTTTTTATATGTAATCCCGTTTCCAACGAAATCCTCAAAGCTAGACAAATATCCACTTGCAGATTCCACAAAAAGAGTGTTTCAAAACTGCTCTCTCAAAAGAAAGGTTCAACTCTGTTAGCTGAGTAGATACATCATGAAAAAGTTTCTGACATTTCTTCTATCTAGCTTTTATTGGAAGATATTTCCTTTGTCACCGTAGTCCTGAGATCTCTCCAAATGTCCACTTCCAGATACTACAAAAAGAGTGTTTCAAACCTGCTCTATGAAAGGGACTGTTCAACACTGTGACTTCAATTGAAACATCCCAATGAAGCTTCTGAGAATGCTTCTGTCTAGAGTTTACATGAAGACAATCCCGTTTCCAACGAAATCCTCAAAGCTATCCAAATATCCTCTTGCAGATTTTACAAAAAGAGTGTTTCAAAACTGCTCTATCAAAAGAAAGCTTCAACACTGTTAGTTGAGGGCGCACATCACAAATAAGTTTCTGAGAATGCTTCTGTCTAGTTTTCAGGGGAAGATATTTCCTTTTTCACCATAGGCCTGAAAGCGCTCCAAATGTCCACATACAGATACTACAAAAAGAGTGTTTCAAACCTGCTCTATGAAAGGGAATGTTCAACTCTGTGACTTGAATGCAAACTTCACAAAGAAGTTTCTGGGAATGCTGCTGTCTGCTTTTTATATGTAATCCCGTTTCCAACGAAATCCTCAAAGCTAGACAAATATCCACTTGCAGATTCCACAAAAACAGTGTTTCAAAACTGCTCTCTCAAAAGAAAGGTTCAACTCTGTTAGCTGAGTAGATACATCATGAAAAAGTTTCTGACATTGCTTCTATCTAGCTTTTATTGGAAGATATTTCCTTTTTCACCGTAGTCCTGAGAGCGCTCCAAATGTCCACTTGCAGATACTACAAAAAGAGTGTTTCAAACCTGCTCTATGAAAGGGAATGTTCAACTCTGGGAGTTGAATGCAAACATCACAAAGAAGATTCTGGGAATGCTGCTGTCTAGAGTTTATATGAAGACAATCCCGTTTCCAACGAAATCCTCACAGCTATCCAAATATCCTCTTGCAGATTTTACAAAAAGAGTGTTTCAAAACTGCTCTATCAAAAGAAAGCTTCAACACTGTTAGTTGAGGGCGCACATCACAAATAAGATTCTGAGAATGCTTCTGTCTAGTTTTCAGGGGAAGATATTTCCTTTTTCACCATAGGCCTGAAAGCGCTCCAAATTTCCACATCCAGATACTACAAAAAGAGTGTTTCAAACCTGCTCTATGAAAGGGAATGTTCAACTCTGGGAGTTGAATGCAAACATCACAAAGAAGTTACTGGGAATGCTGCTGTCTGCTTTTTATATGTAATCCTGTTTCCAACGAAATCCTCAAAGCTAGACAAATATCCACTTGCAGATTCCACAAAAAGAGTGTTTCAAAACTGCTCTATCAAAAGAAAGCTTCAACACTGTTAGTTGAGGGCGCACATCACAAATAAGTTTCTGAGAATGCTTCTGTCTAGTTTTCAGGGGAAGATATTTCCTTTTTCACCATAGACCTGAAAGCGCTCCAAATGTCCACATCCAGATACTACAAAAAGAGTGTTTCAAACCTGCTCTATGAAAGGGACTGTTCAACACTGTGACTTCAATTGAAACATCCCAATGAAGCTTCTGAGAATGCTTCTGTCTAGAGTTTATATGAAGACAATCCCGTTTCCAACGAAATCCTCACAGCTATCCAAATATCCTCTTGCAGATTTTACAAAGAGAGTGTTTCAAAACTGCTCTATCAAAAGAAAGCTTCAACACTGTTAGTTGAGGGCGCACATCACAAATAAGATTCTGAGAATGCTTCTGTCTAGTTTTCAGGGGAAGATATTTCCTTTTTCACCATAGGCCTGAAAGCGCTCCAAATGTCCACATCCAGATACTACAAAAAGAGTGTTTCAAACCTGCTCTATGAAAGGGAATGTTCAACTCTGTGACTTGAATGCAAACATCACAAAGAAGTTACTGGGAATGCTGCTGTCTGCTTTTTATATGTAATCCCGTTTCCAACGAAATCCTCAAAGCTAGACAAATATCCACTTGCAGATTCCACAAAAAGAGTGTTTCAAAAGTGCTCTCTCAAAAGAAAGGTTCAACTCTGTTAGCTGAGTAGATACATCATGAAAAAGTTTCTGACATTGCTTCTATGTAGCTTTTATTGGAAGATATTTCCTTTTTCACCGTAGTCCTGAGAGCGCTCCAAATGTCCACTTGCAGATACTACAAAAAGAGTGTTTCAAACCTGCTCTATGAAAGGGACTGTTCAACACTGTGACTTCAATTGAAACATCCCAATGAAGCTTCTGAGAATGCTTCTGTCTAGAGTTTATATGAAGACAATCCCGTTTCCAATGAAATCCTCAAAGCTATCCAAATATCCTCTTGCAGATTTTACAAAAAGAGTGTTTCAAAACTGCTCTATCAAAAGAAAGCTTCAACACTGTTAGTTGAGGGCGCACATCACAAATAAGATTCTGAGAATGCTTCTGTCTAGTTTTCAGGAGAAGATATTTCCTTTTTCACCATAGGCCTGAAAGCGCTCCAAATGTCCACATCCAGATTCTATAAAAAGAGTGTTTCAAACCTGCTCTCTGAAAGGGAATGTACAACCCTGTGACTTGAATACAAACATCACAAACAAGATTCTGGGAATGCTGCTGTCTGCTTTTTATATGTAATCCTGTTTCCAAAGAAATCCTCAAAGCTAGACAAATATCCACTTGCATATTCCACAAAAAGAGTGTTTTAAAACTGCTCTCTCAAAAGAAAGGTTCAAATCTGTTAGCTGAGTAGATACATCATGAAAAAGTTTCTGACATTGCTTCTATCTAGCTTTTATTGGAAGATATTTCCTTTTTCACCGTAGTCCTGAGAGCGCCCCAAATGTCCACTTCCAGATACTACAAAAAGTGTGTTTCAAACCTGCTCTATGAAAGGGACTGTTAAACACTGTGACTTCAATTGAAACATCCCAATGAAGCTTCTGAGAATGCTTCTGTCTAGAGTTTATATGAAGACAATCCCGTTTCCAACGAAATCCTCAAAGCTATCCAAATATCCTCTTGCAGATTTTACAAAAAGAGTGTTTCAAAACTGCTCTATCAAAAGAAAGCTTCAACACTGTTAGTTGAGGGCGCACATCACAAATAACATTCTGAGAATGCTTCTGTCTAGTTTTCGGGGGAAGATATTTCCTTTTTCACCATAGGCCTGAAAGTGCTCCAAATGTCCACATCCAGATACTACAAAAAGAGTGTTTCAAACCTGCTCTATGAAAGGGAATGTTCAACTCTGTGACTTGAATGCAAACATCACAAAGAAGTTTCTGGGAATGCTGCTGTCTGCTTTTTATATGTAATCCCGTTTCCAACGAAATCCTCAAAGCTAGACAAATATCCACTTGCATATTCCACAAAAAGAGTGTTTCAAAACTGCTCTCTCAAAAGAAAGGTTCAACTCTGTTAGCTGAGTAGATACATCATGAAAAAGTTTCTGACATTTCTTCTATCTAGCTTTTATTGGAAGATATTTCCTTTTTCACCGTAGTCCTGAGATCTCTCCAAATGTCCACTTCCAGATACTACAAAAAGAGTGTTTCTAAACCTGCTCTATGAAAGGGACTGTTCAACACTGTGACTTCAATTGAAACATCCCAATGAAGCTTCTGAGAATGCTTCTGTCTAGAGTTTATATGAAGACAATCCCGTTCCAACGAAATCCTCAAAGCTATCCAAATATCCTCTTGCAGATTTTACAAAAAGAGTGTTTCAAAACTGCTCTATCAAAAGAAAGCTTCAACACTGTTAGTTGAGGGCGCACATCACAAATAAGATTCTGAGAATGCTTCTGTCTAGTTTTCAGGGGAAGATATTTCCTTTTTCACCATAGGCCTGAAAGCGCTCCAAATGTCCACATCCTGATACTACAAAAAGAGTGTTTCAAACCTGCTCTATGAAAGGGAATGTTCAACTCTGTGACTTGAATGCAAACATCACAAAGAAGTTACTGGGAATGCTGCTGTCTGCTTTTTATATGTAATCCCGTTTCCAACGAAATCCTCAAAGCTAGACAAATATCCACTTCCAGATTCCACAAAAAGAGTGTTTCAAAACTGCTCTCTCAAAAGAAAGGTTCAACTCTGTTAGCTGAGTAGATACATCATGAAAAAGTTTCTGACATTGCTTCTATGTAGCTTTTATTGGAAGATATTTCCTTTTTCACCGTAGTCCTGAGAGCGCTCCAAATGTCCACTTCCAGATACTACAAAAAGAGTGTTTCAAACCTGCTCTATGAAAGGGACTGTTCAACACTGTGACTTCAATTGAAACATCCCAATGAAGCTTCTGAGAATGCTTCTGTCTAGAGTTTATATGAAGACAATCCCGTTTCCAATGAAATCCTCATAGCTATCCAAATATCCTCTTGCAGATTTTACAAAAAGAGTGTTTCAAAACTGCTCTAACAAAAGAAAGCTTCAACACTGTTAGTTGAGGGCGCACATCACAAATAAGATTCTGAGAATGCTTCTGTCTAGTTTTCAGGAGAAGATATTTCCTTTTTCACCATGGGCCTGAAAGCGCTCCAAATGTCCACATCAAGATACTATAAAAAGAGTGTTTCAAACCTGCTCTATGAAAGGGAATGTTCAACTCTGTGACTTGAATGCAAACATCACAAAGAAGATTCTGGGAATGCTGCTGTCTGCATTTTATATGTAATCCCGTTTCCAACGAAATCCTCAAAGCTAGACAAATATCCACTTGCAGATTGCACAAAAAGAGTGTTTCAAAACTGCTCTATCAAAAGAAAGCTTCAACACTGTTAGTTGAGGGCGCACATCACAAATAAGTTTCTGAGAATGCTTCTGTCTAGTTTTCAGGGGAAGATATTTCCTTTTTCACCATAGGCCTGAAAGCGCTCCAAATGTCCACATCCAGATACTACAAAAAGAGTGTTTCAAACCTGCTCTATGAAAGGGACTGTTCAACACTGTGACTTCAATTGAAACATCCCAATGAAGCTTCTGAGAATGCTTCTGTCTAGAGTTTATATGAAGACAATCCCGTTTCCAACGAAATCCTCAAATCTATCCAAATATCCTCTTGCAGATTTTACAAAAAGAGTGTTTCAAAACTGCTCTATCAAAAGAAAGCTTCAACACTGTTAGTTGAGGGCGCACATCACAAATAAGATTCTGAGAATGCTTCTGTCTAGTTTTCAGGGGAAGATATTTCCTTTTACACCATAGGCCTGAACGTGCTCCAAATGTCCACATCCAGATACTACAAAAAGAGTGTTTCAAACCTGCTCTATGAAAGGGAATGTTCAACTCTGTGACTTGAATGCAAACATCACAAAGAAGTTTCTGGGAATGCTGCTGTCTGCTTTTTATATGTAATCCCGTTTCCAACGAAATCCTCACAGCTAGACAAATATCCACTTGCAGATTCCACAAAAAGAGTGTTTCAAAACTGCTCTCTCAAAAGAAAGGTTCAACTCTGTTAGCTGAGTAGATACATCATGAAAAAGTTTCTGACATTGCTTCTATGTAGCTTTTATTGGAAGATAATTCCTTTTTCACCGTAGTCCTGAGAGCGCTCCAAATGTCCACTTCCAGATACTACAAAAAGAGTGTTTCAAACCTGCTCTATGAAAGGGACTGTTCAACACTGTGACTTCAATTGAAACATCCCAATGAAGCTTCTGAGAATGCTTCTGTCTAGAGTTTATATGAAGACAATCCCGTTTCCAACGAAATCCTCAAAGCTATCCAAATATCCTCTTGCAGATTTTACAAAAAGAGTGTTTCAAAACTGCTCTATCAAAAGAAAGCTTCAACACTGTTAGTTGAGGGCGCACATCACAAATAAGATTCTGAGAATGCTTCTGTCTAGTTTTCAGGGGAAGATATTTCCTTTTTCACCATAGGCCTGAAAGCGCTCCAAATGTCCACATCCAGATACTACAAAAAGACTGTTTCAAACCTGCTCTATGAAAGGGAATGTTCAACTCTGTGACTTGAATGCAAACATCACAAAGAAGTTACTGGGAATGCTGCTGTCTGCTTTTTATATGTAATCCCGTTTCCAACGAAATCCTCAAAGCTAGACAAATATCCACTTGCAGATTCCACAAAAAGAGTGTTTCAAAACTGCTCTCTCAAAAGAAAGGTTCAACTCTGTTAGCTGAGTAGATACATCATGAAAAAGTTTCTGACATTGCTTCTATCTAGCTTTTATTGGAAGATATTTCCTTTTTCACCGCAGTCCTGAGAGCGCTCCAAATGTCCACTTCCAGATACTACCAAAAGAGTGTTTCAAACCTGCTCTATGAAAGGGACTGTTCAACACTGTGACTTCAATTGAAACATCCCAATGAAGCTTCTGAGAATGCTTCTGTCTAGAGTTTATATGAAGACAGTCCCGTTTCCAACGAAATCCTCAAAGCTATCCAAATATCCTCTTGCAGATTTTACAAAAAGAGTGTTTCAAAACTGCTCTATCAAAAGAAAGCTTCAACACTGTTAGTTGAGGGCGCACATCACAAATAAGTTTCTGAGAATGCTTCTGTCTAGTTTTCAGGGGAAGATATTTCCTTTTTCACCATAGGACTGAAAGCGCTCCAAATGTCCACATACAGATACTACAAAAAGAGTGTTTCAAACCTGCTCTATGAAAGGGAATGTTCAACTCTGTGACTTGAATGCAAACGTCACAAAGAAGTTTCTGGGAATGCTGCTGTCTGCTTTTTATATGTAATCCCGTTTCCAACGAAATCCTCAAAGCTAGACAAATATCCACTTGCAGATTCCACAAAAAGAGTGTTTCAAAACTGCTCTCTCAAAAGAAAGGTTCAACTCTGTTAGCTGAGTAGATACATCATGAAAAAGTTTCTGACATTGCTTCTATCTAGCTTTTATTGGAAGATATTTCCTTTTTTACCGCAGTCCTGAGAGCGCTCCAAATGTCCACTTCCAGATACTACCAAAAGAGTGTTTCAAACCTGCTCTATGAAAGGGACTGTTCAACACTGTGACTTCAATTGAAACATCCCAATGAAGCTTCTGAGAATGCTTCTGTCTAGAGTTTATATGAAGACAATCCCGTTTGCAATGAAATCCTCAAAGCTATCCAAATATCCTCTTGCAGATTTTACAAAAAGAGTGTTTCAAAACTGCTCTATCAAAAGAAAGCTTCAACACTGTTAGTTGAGGGCGCACATCACAAATAAGATTCTGAGAATGCTTCTGTCTAGTTTTCAGGGGAAGATATTTCCTTTTTCACCATAGGCCTGAAAGCGCTCCAAATGTCCACATCCAGATACTACAAAAAGAGTGTTTCAAACCTGCTCTATGAAAGGGAATGTTCAACTCTGTGACTTGAATGCAAACATCACAAAGAAGATTCTGGGAATGCTGCTGTCTGCTTTCTATATATAATCCCGTTTCCAACGAAATCCTCAAAGCTAGACAAATATCCACTTGCAGATTCCACAAAAAGAGTGTTTCAAAACGGCTCTCTCAAAAGAAAGGTTCAACTCTGTTAGCTGAGTAGATACATCATGAAAAAGTTTCTGACATTGCTTCTATCTAGCTTTTATTGGAAGATATTTCCTTTTTCACCGTAGTCCTGAGAGCGCTCCAAATGTCCACTTCCAGATACTACAAAAAGAGTGTTTCAAACCTGCTCTATGAAAGGAACTGTTCAACACTGTGACTTCAATTGAAACATCCCAATGAAGCTTCTGAGAATGCTTCTGTCTAGAGTTTATATGAAGACAATCCCGTTTCCAACGAAATCCTCAAAGCTATCCAAATATCCTCTTGCAGATTTTACAAAAAGAGTGTTTCAAAACTGCTCTATCAAAAGAAAGCTTCAACACTGTTAGTTGAGGGCGCACATCACAAATAAGTTTCTGAGAATGCTTCTGTCTAGTTTTCAGGGGAAGATATTTCCTTTTTCACCATAGGCCTGAAAGCGCTCCAAATGTCCACATCCAGATACTACAAAAAGAGTGTTTCAAACCTGCTCTATGAAAGGGAATGTTCAACTCTGTGACTTGAATGCAAACATCACAAAGAAGTTACTGGGAATGCTGCTGTCTGCTTTTTATATGTAATCCCGTTTCCAACGAAATCCTCAAAGCTAGACAAATATCCACTTGCAGATTCCACAAAAAGAGAGTTTCAAAACTGCTCCCTCAAAGGAAAGGTTCAACTCTGTTAGCTGAGTAGATACATCATGAAAAAGTTTCTGACCTTGCTTCTATGTAGCTTTTATTGGAAGATATTTCCTTTTTCACCGTAGTCCTGAGAGCGCTCCAAATGTCCACTTCCAGATACTACAAAAAGAGTGTTTCAAACCTGCTCTATGAAAGGAACTGTTCAACACTGTGACTTCAATTGAAACATCCCAATGAAGCTTCTGAGAATGCTTCTGTCTAGAGTTTATATGAAGACAATCCCGTTTCCAACGAAATCCTCAAAGCTATCCAAATATCCTCTTGCAGATTTTACAAAAAGAGTGTTTCAAAACTGCTCTATCAAAAGAAAGCTTCAACACTGTTAGTTGAGGGCGCACATCACAAATAAGTTTCTGAGAATGCTTCTGTCTAGTTTTCAGGGGAAGATATTTCCTTTTTCACCATAGGCCTGAAAGCGCTCCAAATGTCCACATCCAGATACTACAAAAAGAGTGTTTCAAACCTGCTCTATGAAAGGGAATGTTCAACTCTGTGACTTGAATGCAAACATCACAAAGAAGATTCTGGGAATGCTGCTGTCTGCTTTTTATATGTAATCCCGTTTCCAACGAAATCCTCAAAGCTAGACAAATATCCACATGCAGATTCCACAAAAAGAGTGTTTCAAAAATGCTCTATCAAAAGAAAACTTCAACACTGTTAGTTGAGGGCGCACATCACAAATAAGTTTCTGAGAATGCTTCTGTCTAGTTTTCAGGGGAAGATATTTCCTTTTTCACCATAGGCCTGAAAGCGCTCCAAATGTCCACATCCAGATACTACAAAAAGAGTGTTTCAAACCTGCTCTATGAAAGTGACTGTTCAACACTGTGACTTCAATTGAAACATCCCAATGAAGCTTCTGAGAATGCTTCTGTCTAGAGTTTATATGAAGACAATCCCGTTTCCAACGAAATCCTCAAAGCTATCCAAATATCCTCTTGCAGATTTTACAAAAAGAGTGTTTCAAAACTGCTCTATCAAAAGAAAGCTTCTACACTGTTAGTTGAGGGCGCACATCACAAATAAGATTCTGAGAATGCTTCTGTCTAGTTTTCAGGGGAAGATATTTCCTTTTTCACCATAGGCCTGAAAGCGCTCCAAATGTCCACATCCAGATACTACAAAAAGAGTGTTTCAAACCTGCTCTATGAAAGGAACTGTTCAACACTGTGACTTCAATTGAAACATCCCAATGAAGCTTCTGAGAATGCTTCTGTCTAGAGTTTATATGAAGACAATCCCGTTTCCAACGAAATCCTCAAAGCTATCCAAATATCCTCTTGCAGATTTTACAAAAAGAGTGTTTCAAAACTGCTCTATCAAAAGAAAGGTTCAACTCTGTTAGCTGAGTAGATACATCATGAAAAAGTTTCTGACATTGCTTCTATGTAGCTTTTATTGGAAGATATTTCCTTTTTCACCGTAGTCCTGAGAGCGCTCAAAATGTCCATTTCCAGGTGCTACAAAAAGAGTGTTTCAAACCTGCTCTATGAAAGGGACTGTTCAACAATGTGACTTCAATTGAAACATCCCAATGAAGCTTCTGAGAATGCTTCTGTCTAGAGTTTATATGAAGACAATCCCGTTTCCAACGAAATCCTCAAAGCTATCCAAATATCCTCTTGCAGATTTTACAAAAAGAGTGTTTCAAAACTGCTCTATCAAAAGAAAGCTTCAACACTGTTAGCTGAGTGCGCACATCACAAATAAGATTCTGAGAATGCTTCTGCCTAGTTTTCAGGAGAAGATATTTCCTTTTTCACCATAGGCCTGAAAGCGCTCCAAATGTCCACATCCAGATACTACAAAAAGAGTGTTTCAAACCTGCTCTATGAAAGGGAATGTCCAACTCTGGGAGTTGAATGCAAACATCACAAAGAAGATTCTGGGAATGCTGCTGTCTGCTTTTTATATGTAATCCCGTTTCCAACGAAATCCTCAAAGCTAGACAAATATCCACTTGCAGATTCCACAAAAAGAGTGTTTCAAAACTGGTCTATCAAAAGAAAGCTTCAACACTGTTAGTTGAGGGCGCACATCACAAATAAGATTCTGAGAATGCTTCTGTCTAGTTTTCAGGGGAAGATATTTCCTTTTTCACCATAGGCCTGAAAGCGCTCCAAATGTCCACATCCAGATACTACAAAAAGAGTGTTTCAAACCTGCTCTATGAAAGGGAATGTTCAACTCTGTGACTTGAATGCAAACATCACAAAGAAGTTTCTGGGAATGCTGCTGTCTGCTTTTTATATGTAATCCCGTTTCCAACGAAATCCTCAAAGCTAGACAAATATCCACTTGCAGATTCCACAAAAACAGTGTTTCAAAACTGCTCTCTCAAAAGAAAGGTTCAACTCTGTTAGCTGAGTAGATACATCATGAAAAAGTTTCTGACTTTTCTTCTATCTAGCTTTTATTGGAAGATATTTCCTTTTTCACCGTAGTCCTGAGATCTCTCCAAATGTCCACTTCCAGATACTACAAAAAGAGTGTTTCAAACCTGCTCTATGAAAGGGACTGTTCAACACTGTGACTTCAATTGAAACATCCCAATGAAGCTTCTGAGAATGCTTCTGTCTAGAGTTTATATGAAGACAATCCCGTTTCCAACGAAATCCTCAAAGCTATCCAAATATCCTCTTGCAGATTTTACAAAAAGAGTGTTTCAAAACTGCTCTATCAAAAGAAAGCTTCAGCACTGTTAGTTGAGGGCGCACATCACAAATAAGATTCTGAGAATGCTTCTGTCTAGTTTTCAGGGGAAGATATTTCCTTTTTCACCATAGGCCTGAAAGCGCTCCAAATGTCCACATCCAGATACTACAAAAAGAGTGTTTCAAACCTGCTCTATGAAAGGGAATGTTCAACTCTGTGACTTGAATGCAAACATCACAAAGAAGTTTCTGGGAATGCTGCTGTCTGCTTTTTATATGTAATCCCGTTTCCAACGATATCCTCAAAGCTAGACAAATATCCACTTGCAGATTCCACAAAAAGAGTGTTTCAAAACTGCTCTATCAAAAGAAAGCTTCAACACTGTTAGTTGAGGGCGCACATCACAAATAAGTTTCTGAGAATGCTTCTGTCTAGTTTTCAGAGGAAGATATTTCCTTTTTCACCATAGGCCTGAAAGCGCTCCAAATGTCCACATCCAGATACTACAAAAAGAGTGTTTCAAACCTGCTCTATGAAAGGGACTGTTCAACACTGTGACTTCAATTGAAACATCCCAATGAGGCTTCTGAGAATGCTTCGTCTAGAGTTTATATGAAGACAATCCCGTTTCCAACGAAATCCTCAAAGCTATCCAAATATCCTCTTGCAGATTTTACAAAAAGAGTGTTTCAAAACTGCTCTATCAAAAGAAAGCTTCAACACTGTTAGTTGAGGGCGCACATCACAAATAAGATTCTGAGAATGCTTCTGTCTAGTTTTCAGGGGAAGATATTTCCTTTTTCACCATAGGCCTGAAAGCGCTCCAAATGTCCACATCCAGATACTACAAAAAGAGTGTTTCAAACCTGCTCTATGAAAGGGAATGTTCAACTCTGTGACTTGAATGCAAACATCACAAAGAAGTTACTGGGAATGCTGCTGTCTGCTTTTTATATGTAATCCCGTTTCCAACGAAATCCTCAAAGCTAGACAAATATCCACTTCCAGATTCCACAAAAAGAGTGTTTCAAAACTGCTCTCTCAAAAGAAAGTTTCAACTCTGTTAGCTGAGTAGATACATCATGAAAAAGTTTCTGACATTGCTTCTATGTAGCTTTTATTGGAAGATATTTCCTTTTTCAGCGTAGTCCTCAGAGCGCTCCAAATGTCCACTTCCAGATACTACAAAAAGAGTGTTTCAAACCTGCTCTATGAAAGGGACTGTTCAACACTGTGACTTCAATTGAAACATCCCAATGAAGCTTCTGAGAATGCTTCTGTCTTGAGTTTATATGAAGAAAATCCCGTTTCCAATGAAATCCTCAAAGCTATCCAAATATCCTCTTGCAGATTTTACAAAAAGATTGTTTCAAAACTGCTCTATCAAAAGAAAGCTTCAACACTGTTAGCTGAGGGCGCACATCACAAATAAGATTCTGAGAATGCTTCTGTCTTGTTTTCAGGAGAAGATATTTCCTTTTTCACCATAGGCCTGAAAGCGCTCCAAATGTCCACATCCAGATACTATAAAAAGAGTGTTTCAAACCTGCTCTATGAAACGGAATGTTCAACTCTGGGACTTGAATGCAAACATCACAAAGAAGATTCTGGGAATGCTGCTGTCTGCTTTTTATATGTAATCCCGTTTCCAACGAAATCCTTAAAGCTAGACAAATATCCACTTGCAGATTCCACAAAAAGAGTGTTTCAAAACTGCTCTATCAAAAGAAAGCTTCAACACTGTTAGTTGAGGGCGCACATCACAAATAAGTTTCTGAGAATGCTTCTGTCTAGTTTTCAGGGGAAGATATTTCCTTTTTCACCATAGGCCTGAAAGCGCTCCAAATGTCCACATCCAGATACTACAAAAAGAGTGTTTCAAACCTGCTCTATGAAAGGGACTGTTCAACACTGTGACTTCAATTGAAACATCCCAATGAAGCTTCTGAGAATGCTTCTGTCTAGAGTTTATATGAAGACAATCCCGTTTCCAACGAAATCCTCAAAGCTATCCAAATATCCTCTTGCAGATTTTACAAAAAGAGTGTTTCAAAACTGCTCTATCAAAAGAAAGCTTCAACACTGTTAGTTGAGGGCGCACATCACAAATAAGTTTCTGAGAATCCTTCTGTCTAGTTTTCAGGGGAAGATATTTCCTTTTTCACCATAGGCCTGAAAGCGCTCCAAATGTCCACATCCAGATACTACAAAAAGAGTGTTTCAAACCTGCTCTATGAAAGGGAATGTTCAACTCTGTGACTTGAATGGAAACATCACAAACAAGTTACTGGGAATGCTGCTGTCTGCTTTTTATATGTAATCCCGTTTCCAACGAAATCCTCAAAGCTAGACAAATATCCACTTGCAGATTCCACAAAAAGAGTGTTTCAAAACTGCTCTCTCAAAAGAAAGGTTCAACTCTGTTAGCTGAGTAGATACATCATGAAAAAGTTTCTGACATTGCTTCTATGTAGCTTTTATTGGAAGATATTTCCTTTTTCACCGTAGTCCTGAGAGCGCTCCAAATGTCCATTTCCAGGTACTACAAAAAGAGTGTTTCAAACCTGCTCTATGAAAGGGACTGTTCAACACTGTGACTTCAATTGAAACATCCCAATGAAGCTTCTGAGAATGCTTCTGTCTAGAGTTTATATGAAGACAATCCCGTTTCCAACGAAATCCTCAAAGCTATCCAAATATCCTCTTGCAGATTTTACAAAAAGAGTGTTTCAAAACTGCTCTATCAAAAGAAAGCTTCAACACTGTTAGTTGAGGGCGCACATCACAAATAAGATTCTGAGAATGCTTCTGTCTAGTTTTCAGGGGAGGATATTTCCTTTTTCACCATAGGCCTGAAAGCGCTCCAAATGTCCACATCCAGATACTACAAAAAGAGTGTTTCAAACCTGCTCTATGAAAGGGAATGTTCAACTCTGTGAGTTGAATGTAACATCACAAAGAAGTTTCTGGGAATGCTGCTGTCTGCTTTTTATATGTAATCCCGTTTCCAACGAAATCCTCAAAGCTAGACAAATATCCACTTGCAGATTCCACAAAAAGAGTGTTTCAAAACTGCTCTCTCAAAAGAAAGGTTCAAATCTGTTAGCTGAGTAGATACATCATGAAAAAGTTTCTGACATTTCTTCTATCTAGCTTTTATTGGAAGATATTTCCTTTTTCACCATAGTCCTGAGATCTCTCCAAATGTCCACTTCCAGATACTACAAAAAGAGTGTTTCAAACCTGCTCTATGAAAGGGACTGTTCAACACTGTGACTTCAATTGAAACATCCCAATGAAGCTTCTGAGAATGCTTCTGTCTAGAGTTTATATGAAGACAATCCCGTTTCCAGCGAAATCCTCAAAGCTATCCAAATATCCTCTTGTAGATTTTACAAAAAGAGTGTTTCAAAACTGCTCAATCAAAAGAAAGCTTCAACACTGTTAGTTCAGGGCGCACATCACAAATAAGTTTCTGAGAATGCTTCTGTCTAGTTTTCAGGGGAAGATATTTCCTTTTTCACCATAGGCCTGAAAGCGCTCCAAATGTCCACATCCAGATACTACAAAAAGAGTGTTTCCAACCTGCTCTATGAAAGGGAATGTTCAACTCTGTGACTTGAATGCAACATCACAAAGAAGTTTCTGGGAATGCTGCTGTCTGCTTTTTATATGTAATCCCGTTTCCAACGAAATCCTCAAAACTAGACAAATATCCACTTGCAGATTCCACAAAAACAGTGTTTCAAAACTGCTCTCTCAAAAGAAAGGTTCAACTCTGTTAGCTGAGTAGATACATCATGAAAAAGTTTCTGACTTTTCTTCTATCTAGCTTTTATTGGAAGATATTTCCTTTTTCACCGTAGTCCTGAGATCTCTCCAAATGTCCACTTCCAGATACTACAAAAAGAGTGTTTCAAACCTGCTCTATGAAAGGGACTGTTCAACACTGTGACTTCAATTGAAACATCCCAATGAAGCTTCTGAGAATGCTTCTGTCTAGAGTTTATATGAAGACAATCCCGTTTCCAACGAAATCCTCAAAGCTATCCAAATATCCTCTTGCAGATTTTACAAAAAGAGTGTTTCAAAACTGCTCTATCAAAAGAAAGCTTCAGCACTGTTAGTTGAGGGCGCACATCACAAATAAGATTCTGAGAATGCTTCTGTCTAGTTTTCAGGGGAAGATATTTCCTTTTTCACCATAGGCCTGAAAGCGCTCCAAATGTCCACATCCAGATACTACAAAAAGAGTGTTTCAAACCTGCTCTATGAAAGGGAATGTTCAACTCTGTGACTTGAATGCAAACATCACAAAGAAGTTTCTGGGAATGCTGCTGTCTGCTTTTTATATGTAATCCCGTTTCCAACGAAATCCTCAAAGCTAGACAAATATCCACTTGCAGATTCCACAAAAAGAGTGTTTCAAAACTGCTCTATCAAAAGAAAGCTTCAACACTGTTAGTTGAGGGCGCACATCACAAATAAGTTTCTGAGAATGCTTCTGTCTAGTTTTCAGAGGAAGATATTTCCTTTTTCACCATAGGCCTGAAAGCGCTCCAAATGTCCACATCCAGATACTACAAAAAGAGTGTTTCAAACCTGCTCTATGAAAGGGACTGTTCAACACTGTGACTTCAATTGAAACATCCCAATGAGGCTTCTGAGAATGCTTCGTCTAGAGGTTATATGAAGACAATCCCGTTTCCAACGAAATCCTCAAAGCTATCCAAATATCCTCTTGCAGATTTTACAAAAAGAGTGTTTCAAAACTGCTCTATCAAAAGAAAGCTTCAACACTGTTAGTTGAGGGCGCACATCACAAATAAGATTCTGAGAATGCTTCTGTCTAGTTTTCGGGGGAAGATATTTCCTTTTTCACCATAGGCCTGAAAGCGCTCCAAATGTCCACATCCAGATACTACAAAAAGAGTGTTTCAAACCTGCTCTATGAAAGGGAATGTTCAACTCTGTGACTTGAATGCAAACATCACAAAGAAGATTCTGGGAATGCTGCTGTCTGCTTTTTATATGTAATCCCGTTTCCAACGAAATCCTCAAAGCTAGACAAATATCCACTTGCAGATTCCACAAAAACAGTGTTTGAAAACTGCTCTATCAAAAGAAAGCTTCAACACTGTTAGTTGAGGGCGCACATCACAAATAAGATTCTGAGAAGGCTTCTGTCTAGTTTTCAGGGGAAGATATTTCCTTTTTCACCATAGGCCTGAAAGTGCTCCAAATGTCCACATCCAGATACTACAAAAAGTGTGTTTCAAACCTGCTCTATGAAAGGGAATGTTCAATTCTGTGACTTGAATGCAAACATCACAAAGAAGTTACTGGGAATGCTGCTGTCTGCTTTTTATATGTAATCCCGTTTCCAAGGAAATCCTCAAAGCTAGACAAATATCCACTTGCAGATTCCACAAAAAGAGTGTTTCAAAACTGCTCTCTCAAAAGAAAGGTTCAACTCTGTTAGCTGAGTAGATACATCATGAAAAAGTTTCTGACATTGCTTCTATCTAGCTTTTATTGGAAGATATTTCCTTTTTCACCGTAGTACTGAGATCTCTCCAAATGTCCACTTCCAGATACTACAAAAAGAGTGTTTCAAACCTGCTCTATGAAAGGGACTGTTCAACACTGTGACTTCAATTGAAACATCCCAATGAAGCTTCTGAGAATGCTTCTGTCTAGAGTTTATATGAAGACAATCCCGTTTCCAAGGAAATCCTCAAAGCTATCCAAATATCCTCTTGCAGATTTTACAAAAAGAGTGTTTCAAAACTGCTCTATCAAAAGAAAACTTCAACACTGTTAGTTGAGGGCGCACATCACAAATAAGATTCTGAGAATGCTTCTGTCTAGTTTTCAGGGGAAGATATTTCCTTTTTCACCATAGGCCTGAAAGCGCTCCAAATGTCCACATCCAGATTCTATAAAAAGAGTGTTTCAAACCGGCTCTCTGAAAGGGAATGTTCAAGTCTGTGACTTGAATGCAAAAATCACAAACAAGATTCTGGGAATGCTGCTGTCTGCTTTTTATATGTAATCCCGTTTCCAACGATATCCTCAAACCTAGACAAATATCCACTTGCAGATTCCACAAAAAGAGTGTTTCCAAACTGCTCTATCAAAAGAAAGCTTCAACACTGTTAGTTGAGGGCGCACATCACAAATAAGTTTCTGAGAATGCTTCTGTCTAGTTTTCAGGGGAAGATATTTCCTTTTTCACCATAGGCCTGAAAGCGCTCCAAATGTCCACATCCAGATACTACAAAAAGAGTGTTTCAAACCTGCTCTATGAAAGGGAATGTTCAACTCTGTGACTTGAATGCAAACATCACAAAGAAGTTACTGGGAATGCTGCTGTCTGCTTTTTATATGTAATCCCGTTTCCAACGAAATCCTCAAAGCTAGACAAATATCCACTTGCAGATTCCACAAAAAGAGTGTTTCAAAACTGCTCCCTCAAAGGAAAGGTTCAACTCTGTTAGCTGAGTAGATACAACATGAAAAAGTTTCTGACATTGCTTCTATGTAGCTTTTATTGGAAGATATTTCCTTTTTCACTGTAGTCCGGAGAGCGCTCCAAATGTCCACTTCCAGATACTACAAAAAGAGTGTTTCAAACTTGCTCTATGAAAGGAACTGTTCAACACTGTGACTTCAATTGAAACATCCCAATGAAGCTTCTGAGAATGCTTCTGTCTAGAGTTTATATGAAGACAATCCCGTTTCCAACGAAATCCTCAAAGCTATCTTAATATCCTCTTGCATATTTTACAAAAAGAGTGTTTCAAAACTGCTCTATCAAAAGAAAGCTTCAACACTGTTAGTTGAGGGCGCACATCACAAATAAGTTTCTGAGAATGCTTCTGTCTAGTTTTCAGGGGAAGATATTTCCTTTTTCACCATAGGCCTGAAAGCGCTCCAAATGTCCCCATACAGATACTACAAAAAGAGTGTTTCAAACCTGCTCTATGAAAGGGAATGTTCAACCCTGTGACTTGAATGCAAACATCACAAAGAAGTTTCTGGGAATGCTGCTGTCTGCTTTTTATATGGAATCCCGTTTCCAACGAAATCCTCAAAGCTAGACAAATATCCACTTGCAGATTCCACAAAAGGAGTGTTTCAAAACTGCTCTCTCAAAAGAAATGTTCAACTCTGTTAGCTGAGTAGATACATCATGAAAAAGTTTCTGACATTGCTTCTATCTAGCTTTTATTGGAAGATATTTCCTTTTTCACCGTAGTCCTGAGATCTCTCCAAATGTCCACTTCCAGATACTACAAAAAGAGTGTTTCAAACCTGCTCTATGAAAGGGACTGTTCAACACTGTGACTTCAATTGAAACATCCCAATGAAGCTTCTGAGAATGTTTCTGTCTAGAGTTTATATGAAGACAATCCCGTTTCCAACGAAATCCTCAAAGCTATCCAAATATCCTCTTGCAGATTTTACAAAAAGAGTGTTTCAAAACTGCTCTATCAAAAGAAAGCTTCAACACTGTTAGTTGAGGGCGCACATCACAAATAAGATTCTGAGAATGCTTCTGTCTAGTTTTCAGGGGAAGATATTTCCTTTTTCACCATAGGCCTGAAAGCGCTCCAAATGTCCACATCCAGATACTACAAAAAGAGTGTTTCAAACCTGCTCTATGAAAAGGAATGTTCAACTCTGTGACTTGAATGCAAACATCACAAAGAAGATTCTGGGAATGCTGCTGTCTGCTTTTTATATGTAATCCCGTTTCCAACGAAATCCTCAAAGCTAGACAAATATCCACATGCAGATTCCACAAAAAGAGTGTTTCAAAACTGCTCTCTCAAAAGAAAGGTTCAACTCTGTTAGCTGAGTAGACACATCATGAAAAAGTTTCTGACATTGCTTCTATCTAGCTTTTATTGGAAGATATTTCCTTTTTCACCGTAGTCCTGAGATCTCTCCAAATGTCCACTTCCAGATACTACAAAAAGAGTGTTTCAAACCTGCTCTATGAAAGGGACTGTTCAACACTGTGACTTCAATTGAAACATCCCAATGAAGCTTCTCAGAATGCTTCGGTCTAGAGTTTATATGAAGACAATCCCGTTTCCAACGAAATCCTCAAAGCTATCCAAATATTCTCTTGCAGATTTTAGAAAAAGAGTGTTTCAAAACTGCTCTATCAAAAGAAAGCTTCAACACTGTTAGTTGAGGGCGCACATCACAAATAAGTTTCTGAGAATGCTTCTGTCTAGATTTCAGAGGAAGATATTTCCTTTTTCACCATAGGCCTGAAAGCGCTCCAAATGTCCACTTCCAGATACTACAAAAAGAGTGTTTCAAACCTGCTCTATGAAAGGGACTGTTCAACACTGTGACTTCAATTGAAACATCCCAATGAAGCTTCTGAGAATGCTTCTGTCTAGAGGTTATATGAAGACAATCCCGTTTCCAACGAAATCCTCAAAGCTATCCAAATATCCTCTTGCAGATTTTAGAAAAAGAGTGTTTCAAAACTGCTCTATCAAAAGAAAGCTTCAACACTGTTAGTTGAGGGCGCACATCACAAATAAGATTCTGAGAATGCTTCTGTCTAGTTTTCAGGGGAAGATATTTCCTTTTACACCATAGGCCTGAAAGCGCTCCAAATGTCCACATTCAGATACTACAAAAAGAATGTTTCAAACCTGCTCTATGAAAGGGAATGTTCAACTCTGTGACTTGAATGCAAACAACACAAAGAAGTTTCTGGGAATGCTGCTGTCTGCTTTTTATATGTAATCACGTTTCCAACGAAATCCTCAAAGCTAGACAAATATCCACTTGCAGATTCCACAAAAAGAGTTTTTCAAAACTGCTCTATGAAAAGAAAGCTTCAACACTGTTAGTTGAGGGCGCACATCACAAATAAGTTTCTGAGAATGCTTCTGTCTAGTTTTCAGAGGAAGATATTTCCTTTTTCACCATAGGCCTGAAAGCGCTCCAAATGTCCACATCCAGATACTACAAAAAGAGTGTTTCAAACCTGCTCTATGAAAGGGACTGTTCAACACTGTGACTTCAATTGAAACATCCCAATGAGGCTTCTGTGAATGCTTCTGCCTAGAGTTTATATGAAGACAATCCCGTTTCCAACGAAATCCTCAAAGCTATCCAAATATCCTCTTGCAGATTTTACAAAAAGAGTGTTTCAAAACTGCTCTATCAAAAGAAAGCTTCAACACTGTTAGTTGAGGGCGCACATCACAAATAAGATTCTGAGAATGCTTCTGTCTAGTTTTCAGGGGAAGATATTTCCTTTTTCACCATAGGCCTGAAAGCGCTCCAAATGTCCACATCCAGATACTACAAAAAGAGTGTTTCAAACCTGCTCTATGAGAGGGAATGTTCAACTCTGTGACTTGAATGCAAACATCACAAAGAAGTTACTGGGAATGCTGCTGTCTGCTTTTTATATGTAATCCCGTTTCCAACGAAATCCTCAAAGCTAGACAAATATCCACTTGCAGATTCCACAAAAATAGTGTTTCAAAACTGCTCTCTCAAAATAAAGTTTCAACTCTGTTAGCTGAGTAGATACATCATGAAAAAGTTTCTGACATTGCTTCTATGTAGCTTTTATTGGAAGATATTTCCTTTTTCACCGTAGTCCTGAGAGCACTCCAAATGTCCACTTCCAGATACTACAAAAAGAGTGTTTCAAAACTGCTCTATGAAAGGGACTGTTCAACACTGTGACTTCAATTGAAACATCCCAATGAAGCTTCTGAGAATGCTTCTGTCTAGAGTTTATATGAAGAGAATCCCGTTTCCAATGAAATCCTCAAAGCTATCCAAATATCCTCTTGCAGATTTTACAAAAAGACTGTTTCAAAACTGCTCTATCAAAAGAAAGCTTCAACACTGTTAGCTGTGGGCGCACATCACAAATAAGATTCTGAGAATGCTTCTGTCTAGTTTTCAGGAGAAGATATTTCCTTTTTCACCATAGGCCTGAAAGCGCTCCAAATGTCCACATCCAGATACTATAAAAAGAGTGTTTCAAACCTGCTCTATGAAAGGGAATGTTCAACTCTGGGACTTGAATGCAAACATCACAAAGAAGATTCTGGGAATGCTGCTGTCTGCTTTTTATATGTAATCCCGTTTCCAACGAAATCCTCAAAGCTAGACAAATATCCACTTGCAGATTCCACAAAAAGAGTGTTTCAAAACTGCTCTATCAAAAGAAAGCTTCAACACTGTTAGTTGAGGGCGCACATCACAAATAAGTTTCTGAGAATGCTTCTGTCTAGTTTTCAGGGGAAGATATTTCCTTTTTCACCGTAGGCCTGAAAGCGCTCCAAATGTCCACATCCAGATACTACAAAAAGAGTGTTTCAAACCTGCTCCATGAAAGGGACTGTTCAACACTGTGACTTCAATTGAAACATCCCAATGAGGCTTCTGAGAATGCTTCTGTCTAGAGTTTATATGAAGACAATCCCGTTTCCAACGAAATCCTCAAAGCTATCCAAATATCCTCTTGCAGATTTTACAAAAAGAGTGTTTCAAAACTGCTCTATCAAAAGAAAGCTTCAACACTGTTAGTTGAGGGCGCACATCACAAATAAGATTCTGAGAATGCTTCTGTCTAGTTTTCAGGGGAAGATATTCCCTTTTTCACCATAGGGCTGAAAGCGCTCCAAATGTCCACATCCAGATACTACAAAAAGAGTGTTTCAAACCTGCTCTATGAAAGGGAATGTTCAACTCTGTGACTTGAATGCAAACATCACAAAGAAGTTACTGGGAATGCTGCTGTCTGCTTTTTATATGTAATCCCGTTTCCAACGAAATCCTCAAAGCTAGACAAATATGCACTTCCAGATTCCACAAAAAGAGTGTTTCAAAACTGCTCTCTAAAAAGAAAGTTTCAACTCTGTTAGCTGAGTAGATACATCATGAAAAAGTTTCTGACATTGCTTCTATGTAGCTTTTATTGGAAGATATTTCCTTTTTCACCGTAGTCCTGAGAGCGCTCCAAATGTCCACTTCCAGATACTACAAAAAGAGTGTTTCAAACCTGCTCTATGAAAGGGACTTTTCAACACTGTGACTTCAATTGAATCATCCCAATGAAGCTTCTGAGAATGCTTCTGTCTTGAGTTTATATGAAGCAAATCCCGTTTCCAATGAAATCCTCAAAGCTATCCAAATATCCTCTTGCAGATTTTACAAAAAGACTGTTTCAAAACTGCTCTATCAAAAGAAAGCTTCAACACTGTTAGCTGAGGGCGCACATCACAAATAAGATTCTGAGAATGCTTCTGTCTTGTTTTCAGGAGAAGATATTTCCTTTTTCACCATAGGCCTGAAAGCGCTCCAAATGTCCACATCCAGATACTATAAAAAGAGTGTTTCAAACCTGCTCTATGAAACGGAATGTTCAACTCTGGGACTTGAATGCAAACATCACAAAGAAGATTCTGGGAATGCTGCTGTCTGCTTTTTATATGTAATCCCGTTTCCAACGAAATCCTCAAAGCTAGACAAATATCCTCTTGCAGATTTTAGAAAAAGAGTGTTTCAAAACTGCTCTATCAAAAGAAAGCTTCAACACTGTTAGTTGAGGGCGCACATCACAAATAAGTTTCTGAGAATGCTTCTGTCTAGTTTTCAGAGGAAGATATTTCCTTTTTCACCATAGGCCTGAAAGCGCTCCAAATGTCCACTTCCAGATACTACAAAAAGAGTGTTTCAAACCTGCTCTATGAAAGGGACTGTTCAACACTGTGACTTCAATTGAAACATCCCAATGAAGCTTCTGAGAATGCTTCTGTCTAGAGGTTATATGAAGACAATCCCGTTTCCAACGAAATCCTCAAAGCTATCCAAATATCCTCTTGCAGATTTTAGAAAAAGAGTGTTTCAAAACTGCTCTATCAAAAGAAAGCTTCAACACTGTTAGTTGAGGGCGCACATCACAAATAAGATTCTGAGAATGCTTCTGTCTAGTTTTCAGGGGAAGATATTTCCTTTTACACCATAGGCCTGAAAGCGCTCCAAATGTCCACATTCAGATACTACAAAAAGAGTGTTTCAAACCTGCTCTATGAAAGGGAATGTTCAACTCTGTGACTTGAATGCAAACATCACAAAGAAGTTTCTGGGAATGCTGCTGTCTGCTTTTTATATGTAATCACGTTTCCAACGAAATCCTCAAAGCTAGACAAATATCCACTTGCAGATTCCACAAAAAGAGTTTTTCAAAACTGCTCTATGAAAAGAAAGCTTCAACACTGTTAGTTGAGGGCGCACATCACAAATAAGTTTCTGAGAATGCTTCTGTCTAGTTTTCAGAGGAAGATATTTCCTTTTTCACCATAGGCCTGAAAGCGCTCCAAATGTCCACATCCAGATACTACAAAAAGAGTGTTTCAAACCTGCTCTATGAAAGGGACTGTTCAACACTGTGACTTCAATTGAAACATCCCAATGAGGCTTCTGTGAATGCTTCTGTCTAGAGTTTATATGAAGACAATCCCGTTTCCAACGAAATCCTCAAAGCTATCCAAATATCCTCTTGCAGATTTTACAAAAAGAGTGTTTCAAAACTGCTCTATCAAAAGAAAGCTTCAACACTGTTAGTTGAGGGCGCACATCACAAATAAGATTCTGAGAATGCTTCTGTCTAGTTTTCAGGGGAAGATATTTCCTTTTTCACCATAGGCCTGAAAGCGCTCCAAATGTCCACATCCAGATACTACAAAAAGAGTGTTTCAAACCTGCTCTATGAGAGGGAATGTTCAACTCTGTGACTTGAATGCAAACATCACAAAGAAGTTACGGGGAATGCTGCTGTCTGCTTTTTATATGTAATCCCGTTTCCAACGAAATCCTCAAAGCTAGACAAATATCCACTTCCAGATTCCACAAAAAGAGTGTTTCAAAACTGCTCTCTCAAAATAAAGTTTCAACTCTGTTAGCTGAGTAGATACATCATGAAAAAGTTTCTGACATTGCTTCTATGTAGCTTTTATTGGAAGATATTTCCTTTTTCACCGTAGTCCTGAGAGCACTCCAAATGTCCACTTCCAGATACTACAAAAAGAGTGTTTCAAACCTGCTCTATGAAAGGGACTGTTCAACACTGTGACTTCAATTGAAACATCCCAATGAAGCTTCTGAGAATGCTTCTGTCTAGAGTTTATATGAAGAGAATCCCGTTTCCAATGAAATCCTCAAAGCTATCCAAATATCCTCTTGCAGATTTCACAAAAAGACTGTTTCAAAACTGCTCTATCAAAAGAAAGCTTCAACACTGTTAGCTGTGGGCGCACATCACAAATAAGATTCTGAGAATGCTTCTGTCTAGTTTTCAGGAGAAGATATTTCCTTTTTCACCATAGGCCTGAAAGCGCTCCAAATGTCCACATCCAGATACTATAAAAAGAGTGTTTCAAACCTGCTCTATGAAAGGGAATGTTCAACTCTGGGACTTGAATGCAAACATCACAAAGAAGATTCTGGGAATGCTGCTGTGTGCTTTTTATATGTAATCCCGTTTCCAACGAAATCCTCAAAGCTAGACAAATATCCACTTGCAGATTCCACAAAAAGAGTGTTTCAAAACTGCTCTATCAAAAGAAAGCTTCAACACTGTTAGTTGAGGGCGCACATCACAAATAAGTTTCTGAGAATGCTTCTGTCTAGTTTTCAGGGGAAGATATTTCCTTTTTCACCGTAGGCCTGAAAGCGCTCCAAATGTCCACATCCAGATACTACAAAAAGAGTGTTTCAAACCTGCTCTATGAAAGGGACTGTTCAACACTGTGACTTCAATTGAAACATCCCAATGAAGCTTCTGAGAATGCTTCTGTCTAGAGTTTATATGAAGACAATCCCGTTTCCAACGAAATCCTCAAAGCTATCGAAATATCCTCTTGCAGATTTTACAAAAAGAGTGTTTCAAAACTGCTCTATCAAAAGAAAGTTTCAACACTGTTAGTTGAGGGCGCACATCACAAATAAGATTCTGAGAATGCTTCTGTCTAGTTTTCAGGGGAAGATATTTCCTTTTTCACCTTAGGCCTGAAAGCGCTCCAAATGTCCACATCCAGATACTACAAAAAGAGTGTTTCAAACCTGCTCTATGAAAGGGAATGTTCAACTCTGTGACTTGAATGCAAACATCACAAAGAAGTTACTGGGAATGCTGCTGTCTGCTTTTTATATGTAATCCCGTTTCCAACGAAATCCTCAAAGCTAGACAAATATCCACTTCCAGATTCCACAAAAAGAGTGTTTCAAAACTGCTCTATCAAAAGAAAGCTTCAACACTGTTAGTTGATTGCGCACATCACAAATAAGTTTCTGAGAATGCTTCTGTCTAGTTTTCAGAGGAAGATATTTCCTTTTTCACCATAGGCCTGAAAGCGCTCCAAATGTCCACATCCAGATACTACAAAAAGAGTGTTTCAAACCTGCTCTATGAAAGGGACTGTTCAACACTGTGACTTCAATTGAAACATCCCAATGAGGCTTCTGAGAATGCTTCTGTCTAGAGTTTATATGAAGACAATCCCATTTCCAACGAAATCCTCAAAGCTATCCAAATATCCTCTTGCAGATTTTACAAAAAGAGTGTTTCAAAACTGCTCTATCAAAAGAAAGCTTCAACACTGTTAGTTGAGGGCGCACATCACAAATAAGATTCTGAGAATGCTTCTGTCTAGTTTTCAGGGGAAGATATTCCCTTTTTCACCATAGGGCTGAAAGCGCTCCAAATGTCCACATCCAGATACTACAAAAAGAGTGTTTCAAACCTGCTCTATGAAAGGGAATGTTCAACTCTGTGACTTGAATGCAAACATCACAAAGAAGTTACTGGGAATGCTGCTGTCTGCTTTTTATATGTAATCCCGTTTCCAACGAAATCCTCAAAGCTAGACAAATATGCACTTCCAGATTCCACAAAAAGAGTGTTTCAAAACTGCTCTCTAAAAAGAAAGTTTCAACTCTGTTAGCTGAGTAGATACATCATGAAAAAGTTTCTGACATTGCTTCTATGTAGCTTTTATTGGAAGATATTTCCTTTTTCACCGTAGTCCTGAGAGCGCTCCAAATGTCCACTTCCAGATACTACAAAAAGAGTGTTTCAAACCTGCTCTATGAAAGGGACTTTTCAACACTGTGACTTCAATTGAATCATCCCAATGAAGCTTCTGAGAATGCTTCTGTCTTGAGTTTATATGAAGAAAATCCCGTTTCCAATGAAATCCTCAAAGCTATCCAAATATCCTCTTGCAGATTTTACAAAAAGACTGTTTCAAAACTGCTCTATCAAAAGAAAGCTTCAACACTGTTAGCTGAGGGCGCACATCACAAATAAGATTCTGAGAATGCTTCTGTCTAGTTTTCAGGGGAAGATATTTCCTTTTTCACCATAGGCCTGAAAGCGCTGCAAATGTCCACATCCATATACTATAAAAAGAGTGTTTCAAACCTGCTCTATGAAACGGAATGTTCAACTCTGGGACTTGAATGCAAACATCACAAAGAAGATTCTGGGAATGCTGCTGTCTGCTTTTTATATGTAATCCCGTTTCCAACGAAATCCTCAAAGCTAGACAAATATCCACTTGCAGATTCCACAAAAAGAGTGTTTCAAAACTGCTCTATCAAAAGAAAGCTTCAACACTGTTAGTTGAGGGCGCACATCACAAATAAGTTTCTGAGAATGCTTCTGTCTAGTTTTCAGGGGAAGATATTTCCTTTTTCACCGTAGGCCTGAAAGCGCTCCAAATGTCCACATCCAGATACTACAAAAAGAGTGTTTCAAACCTGCTCTATGAAAGGGACTGTTCAACACTGTGACTTCAATTGAAACATCCCAATGAAGCTTCTGAGAATGCTTCTGTCTAGAGTTTATATGAAGACAATCCCGTTTCCAACGAAATCCTCAAAGCTATCCAAATATCCTCTTGCAGATTTTACAAAAAGAGTGTTTCAAAAGTACTCTATCAAAAGAAAGCTTCAACACTGTTAGTTGAGGGCGCACATCACAAATAAGATTCTGAGAATGCTTCTGTCTAGTTTTCAGGGGAAGATATTTCCTTTTTCACCATAGGCCTGAAAGCGCTCCAAATGTCCACATCCAGATACTACAAAAAGAGTGTTTCAAACCTGCTCTATGAAAGGGAATGTTCAACTCTGTCACTTGAATGGAAACATCACAAAGAAGTTACTGGGAATGCTGCTGTCTGCTTTTTATATGTAATCCCGTTTCCAACGAAATCCTCAAAGCTAGACAAATATCCACTTGCAGATTCCACAAAAAGAGTGTTTCAAAACTGCTCTCTCAAAAGAAAGGTTCAACTCTGTTAGCTGAGTAGATACATCATGAAAAAGTTTCTGACATTGCTTCTATGTAGCTTTTATTGGAAGATATTTCCTTTTTCGCCATAGTCCTGAGAGCGCTCCAAATGTCCACTTCCAGATACTACAAAAAGAGTGTTTCAAACCTGCTCTATGAAAGGGACTGTTCAAAACTGTGACTTCAATTGAAACATTCCAATGAATCTTCTGCGAATGCTTCTGTCTAGAGTTTATATGAAGACAATCCCGTTTCCAACGAAATCCTCAAAGCTATCCAAATATCCTCTTGCAGATTTTACAAAAAGAGTGTTTCAAAACTGCTCTATCAAAAGAAAGCTTCAACACTGTTAGTTGAGGGCGCACATCACAAATAAGATTCTGAGAATGCTTCTGTCTAGTTTTCAGGGGAAGATATTTCCTTTTTCACCATAGGCCTGAAAGTGCTCCAAATGTCCACATCCAGATACTACAAAAAGAGTGTTTCAAACCTGCTCTATGAAAGGGAATGTTCAACTCTGTGACTTGAATGCAAACATCACAAAGAAGTTTCTGGGAATGCTGCTGTCTGCTTTTTATATGTAATCCCGTTTCCAACGAAATCCTCAAAGCTAGACAAATATCCACTTGCAGATTCCACAAAAAGAGTGTTTCAAAACTGCTCTCTCAAAAGAAAGGTTCAACTCTGTTAGCTGAGTAGACACATCATGAAAAAGTTTCTGACATTGCTTCTATCTAGCTTTTATTGGAAGCTATTTCCTTTTTCACCGTAGTCCTGAGATCTCTCCAAATGTCCACTTCCAGATACTACAAAAAGAGTGTTTCAAACCTGCTCTATGAAAGGGACTGTTCAACACTGTGACTTCAATTGAAACATCCCAATGAAGCTTCTGAGAATGCTTCTGTCTAGAGTTTATATGAAGACAATCCCGTTTCCAACGAAATCCTCAAAGCTATCCAAATATCCTCTTGCAGATTTTACAAAAAGAGTGTTTCAAAACTGCTCTATCAAAAGAAAGCTTCAACACTGTTAGCTGAGGGCGCACATCACAAATAAGATTCTGAGAATGCTTCTGTCTTGTTTTCAGGAGAAGATATTTCCTTTTTCACCATAGGCCTGAAAGCGCTCCAAATGTCCACATCCAGATACTATAAAAAGAGTGTTTCAAACCTGCTCTATGAAACGGAATGTTCAACTCTGGGACTTGAATGCAAACATCACAAAGAAGATTCTGGGAATGCTGCTGTCTGCTTTTTATATGTAATCCCGTTTCCAACGAAATCCTCAAAGCTAGACAAATATCCACTTGCAGATTCCACAAAAAGAGTGTTTCAAAACTGCTCTATCAAAAGAAAGCTTCAACACTGTTAGTTGAGGGCGCACATCACAAATAAGTTTCTGAGAATGCTTCTGTCTAGTTTTCAGGGGAAGATATTTCCTTTTTCACCATAGGCCTGAAAGCGCTCCAAATGTCCACATCCAGATACTACAAAAAGAGTGTTTCAAACCTGCTCTATGAAAGGGACTGTTCAACACTGTGACTTCAATTGAAACATCCCAATGAAGCTTCTGAGAATGCTTCTGTCTAGAGTTTATATGAAGACAATCCCGTTTCCAACGAAATCCTCAAAGCTATCCAAATATCCTCTTGCAGATTTTACAAAAAGAGTGTTTCAAAAGTGCTCTATCAAAAGAAAGCTTCAACACTGTTAGTTGAGGGCGCACATCACAAATAAGATTCTGAGAATGCTTCTGTCTAGTTTTCAGGGGAAGATATTTCCTTTTTCACCATAGGCCTGAAAGCGCTCCAAATGTCCACATCCAGATACTACAAAAAGAGTGTTTCAAACCTGCTCTATGAAAGGGACTGTTCAACACTGTGACTTCAATTGAAACATCCGAATGAGGCTTCTGTGAATGCTTCTGTCTAGAGTTTATATGAAGACAATCCCGTTTCCAACGAAATCCTCAAAGCTATCCAAATATCCTCTTGCAGATTTTACAAAAAGAGTGTTTCAAAACTGCTCTATCAAAAGAAAGCTTCAACACTGTTAGTTGAGGGCGCACATCACAAATAAGATTCTGAGAATGCTTCTGTCTAGTTTTCAGGGGAAGATATTTCCTTTTTCACCATAGGCCTGAAAGCGCTCCAAATGTCCACATCCAGATACTACAAAAAGAGTGTTTCAAACCTGCTCTATGAGAAGGAATGTTCAACTCTGTGACTTGAATGCAAACATCACAAAGAAGTTACTGGGAATGCTGCTGTCTGCTTTTTATATGTAATCCCGTTTCCAACGAAATCCTCAAAGCTAGACAAATATCCACTTCCAGATTCCACAAAAAGAGTGTTTCAAAACTGCTCTCTAAAAAGAAAGTTTCAACTCTGTTAGCTGAGTAGATACATCATGAAAAAGTTTCTGACATTGCTTCTATGTAGCTTTTATTGGAAGATATTTCCTTTTTCACCGTAGTCCTGAGAGCGCTCCAAATGTCCACTTCCAGATACTACAAAAAGAGTGTTTCAAACCTGCTCTATGAAAGGGACTTTTCAACACTGTGACTTCAATTGAAACATCCCAATGAGGCTTCTGAGAATGCTTCTGTCTAGAGTTTATATGAAGACAATCCCGTTTCCAACGAAATCCTCAAAGCTATCCAAATATCCTCTTGCAGATTTTACAAAAAGAGTGTTTCAAAACTGCTCTATCAAAAGAAAGCTTCAACACTGTTAGCTGAGGGCGCACATCACAAATAAGATTCTGAGAATGCTTCTGTCTTGTTTTCAGGAGAAGATATTTCCTTTTTCACCATAGGCCTGAAAGCGCTCCAAATGTCCACATCCAGATACTATAAAAAGAGTGTTTCAAACCTGCTCCATGAAACGGAATGTTCAACTCTGGGACTTGAATGCAAACATCACAAAGAAGATTCTGGGAATGCTGCTGTCTGCTTTTTATATGTAATCCCGTTTCCAACGAAATCCTCAAAGCTAGACAAATATCCACTTGCAGATTCCACAAAAAGAGTGTTTCAAAACTGCTCTATCAAAAGAAAGCTTCAACACTGTTAGTTGAGGGCGCACATCACAAATAAGTTTCTGAGAATGCTTCTGTCTAGTTTTCAGGGGAAGATATTTCCTTTTTCACCATAGGCCTGAAAGCGCTCCAAATGTCCACATCCAGATACTACAAAAAGAGTGTTTCAAACCTGCTCTATGAAAGGGACTGTTCAACACTGTGACTTCAATTGAAACATCCCAATGAAGCTTCTGAGAATGCTTCTGTCTAGAGTTTATATGAAGACAATCCCGTTTCCAACGAAATCCTCAAAGCTATCCAAATATCCTCTTGCAGATTTTACAAAAGGAGTGTTTCAAAAGTGCTCTATCAAAAGAAAGCTTCAACACTGTTAGTTGAGGGCGCACATCACAAATAAGATTCTGAGAATGCTTCTGTCTAGTTTTCAGGGGAAGATATTTCCTTTTTCACCATAGGCCTGAAAGCGCTCCAAATGTCCACATCCAGATACTACAAAAAGAGTGTTTCAAACCTGCTCTATGAAAGGGAATGTTCAACTCTGTCACTTGAATGGAAACATCACAAAGAAGATACTGGGAATGCTGCTGTCTGCTTTTTATATGTAATCCCGTTTCCAACGAAATCCTCAAAGCTAGACAAATATCCACTTGCAGATTCCACAAAAAGAGTGTTTCAAAACTGCTCTCTCAAAAGAAAGGTTCAACTCTGTTAGCTGAGTAGATACATCATGAAAAAGTTTCTGACATTGCTTCTATGTAGCTTTTATTGGAAGATATTTCCTTTTTCGCCATAGTCCTGAGAGCGCTCCAAATGTCCACTTCCAGATACTACAAAAAGAGTGTTTCAAACCTGCTCTATGAAAGGGACTGTTCAAAACTGTGACTTCAATTGAAACATTCCAATGAATCTTCTGCGAATGCTTCTGTCTAGAGTTTGTATGAAGACAATCCCGTTTCCAACGAAATCCTCAAAGCTATCCAAATATCCTCTTGCAGATTTTACAAAAAGAGTGTTTCAAAACTGCTCTATCAAAAGAAAGCTTCAACACTGTTAGTTGAGGGCGCACATCACAAATAAGATTCTGAGAATGCTTCTGTCTAGTTTTCAGGGGAAGATATTTCCTTTTTCACCATAGGCCTGAAAGTGCTCCAAATGTCCACATCCAGATACTACAAAAAGAGTGTTTCAAACCTGCTCTATGAAAGGGAATGTTTAACTCTGTGACTTGAATGCAAGCATCACAAAGAAGTTTCTGGGAATGCTGCTGTCTGCTTTTTATATGTAATCCCGTTTCCAACGAAATCCTCAAAGCTAGACAAATATCCACTTGCAGATTCCACAAAAAGAGTGTTTCAAAACTGCTCTATCAAAAGAAAGCTTCAACACTGTTAGTTGAGGGCGCACATCACAAATAAGTTTCTGAGAATGCTTCTGTCTAGTTTTCAGGGGAAGATATTTCCTTTTTCACCGTAGGCCTGAAAGCGCTCCAAATGTCCACATCCAGATACTACAAAAAGAGTGTTTCAAACCTGCTCTATGAAAGGGACTGTTCAACACTGTGACTTCAATTGAAACATCCCAATGAGGCTTCTGAGAATGCTTCTGTCTAGAGTTTATATGAAGACAATCCCGTTTCCAACGAAATCCTCAAAGCTATCCAAATATCCTCTTGCAGATTTTACAAAAAGAGTGGTTCAAAACTGCTCTATCAAAAGAAAGCTTCAACACTGTTAATTGAGGGCGCACATCACAAATAAGATTCTGAGAATGCTTCTGTCTAGTTTTCAGGGGAAGATATTTCCTTTTTCACCATAGGCCTGAAAGCGCTCCAAATGTCCACATCCAGATACTACAAAAAGAGTGTTTCAAACCTGCTCTATGAAAGGGAATGTTCAACTCTGTGACTTGAATGCAAACATCACAAAGAAGTTTCTGGGAATGCTGCTGTCTGCTTTTTATATGTAATCCCGTTTCCAACGAAATCCTCAAAGCTAGACAAATATCCACTTGCAGATTCCACAAAAAGAGTGTTTCAAAACTGCTCTCTCAAAAGAAAGGTTCAACTCTGTTAGCTGAGTAGACACATCATGAAAAAGTTTCTGACATTGCTTCTATCTAGCTTTTATTGGAAGCTATTTCCTTTTTCACCGTAGTCCTGAGATCTCTCCAAATGTCCACTTCCAGATACTACAAAAAGAGTGTTTCAAACCTGCTCTATGAAAGGGACTGTTCAACACTGTGACTTCAATTGAAACATCCCAATGAAGCTTCTGAGAATGCTTCTGTCTAGAGTTTATATGAAGACAATCCCGTTTCCAACGAAATCCTCAAAGCTATCCAAATATCCTCTTGCAGATTTTAGAAAAAGAGTGTTTCAAAACTGCTCTATCAAAAGAAAGCTTCAACACTGTTAGTTGAGGGCGCACATCACAAATAAGATTCTGAGAATGCTTCTGTCTAGTTTTCAGGGGAAGATATTTCCTTTTTCACCACAGGCCTGAAAGCGCTCCAAATGTCCACATCCAGATACTACAAAAAGAGTGTTTCAAACCTGCTCTATGAAAGGGAATGTTCAACTCTGTGACTTGAATGCAAACATCACAAAGAAGTTTCTGGGAATGCTGCTGTCTGCTTTTTATATGTAATCACGTTTCCAACGAAATCCTCAAAGCTAGACAAATATCCACTTGCAGATTCCACAAAAAGAGTTTTTCAAAACTGCTCTATGAAAAGAAAGCTTCAACACTGTTAGTTGAGGGCGCACATCACAAATAAGTTTCTGAGAATGCTTCTGTCTAGTTTTCAGAGGAAGATATTTCCTTTTTCACCATAGGCCTGAAAGCGCTCCAAATGTCCACATCCAGATACTACAAAAAGAGTGTTTCAAACCTGCTCTATGAAAGGGAATGTTCAACTCTGTGACTTGAATGCAAACATCACAAAGAAGTTTCTGGGAATGCTGCTGTCTGCTTTTTATATGTAATCCCGTTTCCAACGAAATCCTCAAAGCTAGAAAAATATCCGCTTGCAGATTCCACAAAAAGAGTGTTTCAAAACTGCTCTCTCAAAAGAAAGGTTCAACTCTGTTAGCTGAGTAGATACATCATGAAAAAGTTTCTGACATTGCTTCTATCTAGCTTTTATTGGAAGATATTTCCTTTATCACCGTATTCCTGAGATCTCTCCACATGTCCACTTCCAGATACTACAAAAAGAGTGTTTCAAACCTGCTCTATGAAAGGGACTGTTCAACACTGTGACTTCAATTGAAACATCCCAATGAAGCTTCTGAGAATGCTTCTGTCTAGAGTTTATATGAAGACAATACCGTTTCCAACGAAATCCTCAAAGCTATCCAAATATCCTCTTGCAGATTTTACAAAAAGTGTGTTTCAAAACTGCTCTATCAAAAGAAAGCTTCAACACTGATAGTTGAGGGCACACATCACAAATAAGATTCTGAGAATGCTTCTGTCTAGTTTTCAGGGGAAGATATTTCCTTTTTCACCATAGGCCTGAAAGCGCTCCAAATGTCCACATCCAGATACTACAAAAAGAGTGTTTCAAACCTGCTCTATGAAAGGCAATGTTCAACTCTGTGACTTGAATGCAAACATCACAAAGAAGTTTCTGGGAATGCTGCTGTCTGCTTTTTATAGGTAATCCCGTTTCCAACGAAATCCTCAAAGCTAGAAAAATATCCGCTTGCAGATTCCAGAAAAAGAGTGTTTCAAAACTGCTCTCTCAAAAGAAAGGTTCAACTCTGTTAGCTGAGTAGATACATCATGAAAAAGTTTCTGACATTGCTTCTATCTAGCTTTTATTGGAAGATATTTCCTTTATCACCGTATTCCTGAGAACTCTCCAAACGTCCACTTCCAGATACTACAAAAAGAGTGTTTCAAACCTGCTCTATGAAAGGGACTGTTCAACACTGTTACTTCAATTGAAACATCCCAATGAAGCTTCTGAGAATGCTTCTGTCTAGATTTTGTATGAAGACCATCCCGTTTCCAACGAAATCCTCAAAGCTATCCAAATATCCTCTGCAGATTTTACAAAAAGAGTGTTTCAAAACTGCTCTATCAAAAGAAAGCTTCAACACTGTTAGTTGAGGGCGCACATCACAAATAAGATTCTGAGAATGCTTCTGTCTAGCTTTCAGGGGAAGATATTTCCTTTTTCACCATAGGTCTGAAAGCGCTCCAAATGTCCACATCCAGATACTACAAAAAGAGTGTTTCAAACCTGCTCTATGAAAGGGAATGTTCAACTCTGTGACTTGAATGCAAACATCACAAAGAAATTTCTGGGAATGCTGCTGTCTGCTTTTTATATGTAATCCCGTTTCCAACGAAATCCTCAAAGCTAGACAAATATCCAGTTGCAGATTCCACAAAAAGAGTGTTTCAAAACTGCTCTCTCAAAAGAAAGTTTCAACTCTGTTAGCTGAGTAGATACATCATGAAAAAGTTTCTGACATTGCTTCTATCTAGCTTTTATTGGAAGATATTTCCTTTATCACCGTATTCCTGAGATCTCTCCAAATGTCCAATTCCAGATACTACAAAAAGATTGTTTCAAACCTGCTCTATGAAAGGGAATGTTCAACTCTGTGACTTGAATGCAAACATCACAAAGAAATTTCTGGGAATGCTGCTGTCTGCTTTTTATATGTAATCCCGTTTCCAACGAAATCCTCAAAGCTAGACAAATATCCACTTGCAGATTCCACAAAAAGAGTGTTCCAAAACTGCTCTCTCAAAAGAAAGGTTCAACTCTGTTAGCTGAGTAGATACATCATGAAAAAGTTTCTGACATTGCTTCTATCTAGCTTTTATTGGAAGATATTTCCTTTATCACCGTATTCCTGAGATCTCTCCAAATGTCCACATCCAGATACAACAAAAAGAGTGTTTCAAACCAGCTCTATGAAAGGGACTGTTCAACACTGTGACTTCAATTGAAACATCCCATGAAGCTTCTGAGAATGCTTCTGTCTAGAGTTTATATGAAGACAATCCCGTTTCCAACGAAATCCTCAAAGCTATCCAAATATCCTCTTGCAGATTTTACAAAAAGTGTGTTTCAAAACTGCTCTATCAAAAGAAAGCTTCAACACTGATAGTTGAGGGCGCACATCACAAATAAGATTCTGAGAATGCTTCTGTCTAGTTTTCAGGGGAAGATATTTCCTTTTTCACCATAGGCCTGAAAGCGCTCCAAATGTCCACATCCAGATACTACAAAAAGAGTGTTTCAAACCTGCTCTATGAAAGGCAATGTTCAACTCTGTGACTTGAATGCAAACATCACAAAGAAATTTCTGGGAATGCTGCTGTCTGCTTTTTATATGTAATCCCGTTTCCAACGAAATCCTCAAAGCTAGACAAATATCCACTTGCAGATTCCACAAAAAGAGTGTTCCAAAACTGCACTCTCAAAAGAAAGGTTCAACTCTGTTAGCTGAGTAGATACATCATGAAAAAGTTTCTGACATTGCTTCTATCTAGCTTTTGTTGGAAGATATTTCCTTTATCAACATATTCCTGAGATCTCTCCATATGTCCAGTTCCAGATACTACAAAAAGAGTGTTTCAAACCTGCTCTATGAAAGGGACTGTTCAACACTGTGACTTCAATAGAAACATCCCAATGAAGCTTCTGAGAATGCTTCTGTCTAGAGTTTATATGAAGACAATCCCGTTTCCAACGAAATCCTCAAAGCTATCCAAATATCCTCTTGCAGAGTTTACAAAAAGAGTGTTTCAAAACTGCTCTATCAAAAGAAAGCTTCAACACTGTTAGTTGAGGGCGCACATCACAAATAAGATTCTGAGAATGCTTCTGTCTAGTTTTCAGGGGAAGATATTTCCTTTTTCACCATAGGCCTGAAAGCGCTCCAAATGTCCACATCCAGATACTACAAAAAGAGTGTTTCAAACCTGCTCTATGAAAGGGAATGTTCAACTCTGTGACTTGAATGCAAACATCACAAAGAAGTTTCTGGGAATGCTGCTGTCTGCTTTTTATATGTAATCCCGTTTCCAACGAAATCCTCAAAGCTAGACAAATATCCACTTGCAGATTCCACAAGAAGAGTGTTTCAAAACTGCTCTCTCAAAAGAAAGGTTCAACTCTGTTAGCTGAGTAGATACATCATGAAAAAGTTTCTGACATTGTTTCTATGTAGCTTTTATTGGAAGATATTTCCTTTTTCACCGTAGTCCGGAGAGCGCTCCAAATGTCCAATTCCAGATACTACAAAAAGAGTGTTTCAAACCTGCTCTATGAAAGGGACTGTTCAACACTGTGACTTCAATTGAAACATCCCAATGAAGCTTCTGAGAATGCTTCTGTCTAGAGTTTATATGAAGACAATCCCGTCTCCAAAGAAATCCTCAAAGCTATCCAAATATCCTCTTGCAGATATTACAAAAAGAGTGTTTCAAAACTGCTCTATCAAAAGAAAGCTTCAACACTGTTAGTTGAGGGCGCACATCACAAATAAGATTCTGAGAATGCTTCTGTCTAGTTTTCAGGGGAAGATATTTCCTTTTTCACCATAGGCCTGAAAGCGCTCCAAATGTCCACATCCAGATACTACAAAAAGAGTGTTTCAAACCTGCTCTATGAAAGGGAATGTTCAACTCTGTGACTTGAATGCAAACATCACAAAGAAGTTTCTGGGAATGCTGCTGTCTGCTTTTTATATGTAATCCCGTTTCCAACGAAATCCTCAAAGCTAGACAAATATCCACTTGCAGATTCCACAAAAAGAGTGTTTCAAAACTGCTCTCTCAAAAGAAAGGTTCAACTCTTTTAGCTGAGTAGATACATCATGAAAAAGTTTCTGACATTGCTTCTATCTACCTTTTATTGGAAGATATTTCCTTTATCACCGTATTCCTGAGATCTCTCCAAATGTCCACTTCCAGATACTACAAAAAGAGTGTTTCAAACCTGCTCTATGAAAGGGACTGTTCAACACTGTGACTTCAATTGAAACATCCCAATGAAGCTTCTGAGAATGCTTCTGTCTAGAGTTTATATGAAGACAATCCCGTTTCCAACGAAATCCTCAAAGCTATCCAAATATCCTCTTGCAGATTTTACAAAAAGAGTGTTTCAAAACTGCTCTATCAAAAGAAAGCTTCAACTCTGTTAGTTGAGGGCGCACATCACAAATAAGATTCTGAGAATGCTTCTGTCTAGTTTTCAGGGGAAGATATTTCCTTTTTCACCATAGGCCTGAAAGCGCTCCAAATGTCCACATCCAGATACTACAAAAAGAGTGTTTCAAACCTGCTCTATGAAAGGGAATGTTCAACTCTGACACTTGAATGCAAACATCACAAAGAAGTTTCTGGGAATGCTGCTGTCTGCTTTTTACATGTAATCCCGTTTCCAACGAAATCCTCAAATCTAGACAAATATCCACTTGCAGATTCCACAAAAAGAGTGTTTCAAAACTGCTCTCTCAAAGGAAAGGTTCAACTCTGTTAGCTGAGTAGATACATCATGAAAAAGTTTCCGACATTGCTTCTATCTAGCTTTTATTGGAAGATATTTCCTTTTTCACCGTAGTCCTGAGAGCGCTCCAAATGTCCACTTCCAGATACTACAAAAAGAGTGTTTCAAACCTGCTCTATGAAAGGGACTGTTCAACACTGTGACTTCAATTGAAACATCCCAATGAAGCTTCTGAGAATGCTTCTGTCTAGAGTTTATATGAAGACAATCCCGTTTCCAACGAAATCCTCAGAGATATCCAAATATCCTCTTGCAGAATTTACAAAAAGAGTGTTTCAAAACTGCTCTATCAAAAGAAAGCTTCATCACTGTTAGTTGAGGGCGCACATCACAAATAAGATTCTGAGAATGCTTCTGTCTAGTTTTCAGGGGAAGATATTTCCTTTTTCACCATAGGCCTGAAAGCGCTCCAAATGTCCACATCCAGATTCTATAAAAAGAGTGTTTCAAACCTGGTCTCTGAAAGGGAATGTTCAACACTGTGACTTGAATGCAAACATCACAAACAAGATTCTGGGAATGCTGCTGTCTGCTTTTTATATGTAATCCCGTTTCCAACGAAATCCTCAAAGCTAGACAAATATCCACTTGCAGATTCCACAAAAAGAGAGTTTCAAAACTGCTCTATCAAAAGAAAGCTTCAACACTGTTAGTTGAGGGCGCACATCACAAATAAGTTTCTGAGAATGCTTCTGTCTAGTTTTCAGGGGAAGATATTTCCTTTTTCACCTTAGGCCTGAAAGCGCTCCAAATGTCCACATCCAGATACTACAAAAAGATTGTTTCAAACCTGCTCTATGAAAGGGAATGTTCAACACTGTGACTTCAATTGAAACATCCCAATGAAGCTTCTGAGAATGCTTCTGTCTAGAGTTTATATGAAGACAATCCCGTTTCCAAAGAAATCCTCAAAGCTATCCAAATATCCTCTTGCAGATTTTACAAAAAGAGTGTTTCAAAACTGCTCTATCAAAAGAAAGGTTCAACACTGTTAGTTGAGGGCGCACATCAGAAATAAGATTCTGAGAATGCTTCTGTCTAGTTTTCAGGGGAAGATATTTCCTTTTTCACCATAGGCCTGAAAGCGCTCCAAATGTCCACATCCAGATACTACAAAAAGAGTGTTTCAAACCTGCTCTATGAAAGGGAATGTTCAACTCTGTGACTTGAATGCAAACATCACAAAGAAGTTTCTGGGAATGCTGCTGACTGCTTTTTATATGTAATCCCGTTTCCAACGAAATCCTCAAAGCTAGACAAATATCCACTTGCAGATTCCACAAAAAGAGTGTTTCAAAACTGCTCTCTCAAAAGAAAGGTTCAACTCTGTTAACTGAGTAGATACATCATGAAAAAGTTTCTGACATTGCTTCTATCTAGCTTTTATTGGAAGATAATTCCTTTTTCACCGCAGTCCTGAGAGCGCTCCAAATGTCCACTTCCAGATACTACAAAAAGAGTGTTTCAAACCTGCTCTATGAAAGGGACTGTTCAACACTGTGACTTCAATTGAAACATCCCAATGAAGCTTCTGAGAATGCTTCTGTCTAGAGTTTATATGAAGACAATCCCGTTTCCAACGAAATCCTCAAAGCTATCCAAATATCCTCTTGCAGATTTTTCAAAAAGAGTGTTTCAAAACTGCTCTATCAAAAGAAAGCTTCAACACTGTTAGTTGAGGGCGCACATCACAAATAAGATTCTGAGAATGCTTCTGTCTAGTTTTCAGGGGAAGATATTTCCTTTTTCACCATAGGCATGAATGCGCTCCAAATGTCCACATCCAGATACTACAAAAAAAGTGTTTCAAACCTGCTCTATGAAAGGGAATGTTCAACTCTGTGACTTGAATGCAAACATCACAAAGAAGTTTCTGGGAATGCTGCTGTCTGCTTTTTATATGTAATCCCGTTTCCAACGAAATCCTCAAAGCTAGACAAATATCCACTTGCAGATTCCACAAAAAGAGTGTTTCAAAACTGCTCTCTCAAAAGAAAGGTTCAACTCTGTTAGCTGAGTAGATACATCATGAAAAAGTTTCTGACATTGCTTCTATCTAGCTTTTATTGGAAGATAATTCCTTTTTCACGGTAGTCCTGAGAGCGCTCCAAATGTCCACTTCCAGATACTACAAAAAGAGTGTTTCAAACCTGCTCTATGAAAGGGACTGTTCAACACTGTGACTTCATTTGAAACATCCCAATGAAGCTTCTGAGAATGATTCTGTCTAGAGTTTATATGAAGACAATCCTGTTTCCAACGAAATCCTCAAAGCTATCCAAATATCGTCTTTCAGATTTTACAAAAAGAGTGTTTCAAAACTGCTCTATCAAAAGAAAGCTTCAACACTGTTAGTTGAGGGCGCACATCACAAATAAGTTTCTGAGAATGCTTCTGTCTAGTTTTCAGGGGAAGATATTTCCTTTTTCACCTTAGGCGTGAAAGCGCTCCAAATGTCCACATCCAGATAGTACAAAAAGAGTGTTTCAAACCTGTTCTATGAAAGGGAATGTTCAACTCTGTGACTTGAATGCAAACATCACAAAGAAGTTTCTGGGAATGCTGCTGACTGCTTTTTATATGTAATCCCGTTTCCAACGAAATCCTCAAAGCTAGACAAATATCCACTTGCAGATTCCACAAAAAGAGTGTTTCAAAACTGCTCTCTCAAAAGAAAGGTTCAACTCTGTTAGCTGAGTAGATACATCATGAAAAAGTTTCTGACATTGCTTCTATGTAGCTTTTATTGGAAGATATTTCCTTTTACACCGTAGTCCTGAGAGCGCTCCAAATATCCACTTCCAGATACTACAAAAAGAGTGTTTCAAACCTGCTCTATGAAAGGGACTGTTCAACACTGTGACTTCAATTGAAACATCCCAATGAAGCTTCTGAGAATGTTTCTGTCTAGAGTTTATATGAAGACAATCCCGTTTTCAACGAAATCCTCAAAGCTATCCAAATATCCTCTTGCAGATTTTACAAAAAGAGTGTTTCAAAACTGCTCTAGCAAAAGAAAGCTTCAACACTGTTAGTTGAGGGCGCACATTGCAAATAAGATTCTGAGAATGCTTCTGTCTAGTTTTCAGGGGAAGATATTTCCTTTTTCACCATAGGCCTGAAATCGCTCCAAATGTCCACATCCAGATACTACAAAAAGAGTGATTCAAACCTGCTCTATGAAAGGGAATGTTCAACTCTGTGACTTGAATGCAAACATCACAAAGAAGTTATTGGGAATGCTGCTGTCTGCTTTTTATATGTAATCCCGTTTCCAACGAAATCCTCAGAGCTAGACAAATATCCACTTGCAGATTCCACAAAAAGAGTGTTTCAAAACTGCTCTCTCAAAAGAAAGGTTCAACTCTGTTAGCTGAGTAGATACATCATGAAAAAGTTTCTGACATTGCTTCTATCTAGCTTTTATTGGAAGATATTTCCTTTTTCACCGTAGTCCTAAGAGCGCTCCAAATGTCCACTTCCAGATACTACAAAAAGAGTGTTTCACACCTGCTCTATGAAAGGGACTGTTCAACACTGTGACTTCAATTGAAATATCCCAATGAAGCTTCTGAGAATGCTTCCGTCTAGAGTTTAAATGAAGACAAACCCGTTTCCAACGAAATCCTCAAAGCTATCCAAATATCCTCTTGCAGATTTTACAAAAAGAGTGTTTCAAAACTGCTCTATCAAAAGAAAGCTTCAACACTGTTAGTTGAGGGCGCACATCACAAATAAGATTCTGAGAATGCTTCTGTCTAGTTTTCAGGAGAAGATATTTCCTTTTTCACCATAGGCCTGAAAGCGCTCCAAATGTCCACATCCAGATACTACAAAAAGAGTGTTTCAAATCTGCTCTATGAAAGGGAATGTTCAACTCTGTGACTTGAATGCAAACATCACAAAGAAGATTCTGGGAATGCTGCTGTCTGCTTTTTATATGTAATCCCGTTTCCAACGAAATCCTCAAAGCTAGACAAATATCCACTTGCAGATTCCACAAAAAGAGTGTTTCAAAACTGCTCTCTCAAAAGAAAGGTTCAACTCTGTTAGCTGAGTAGATACATCATGAAAAAGATTCTGACATTGCTTCTATCTAGCTTTATTTGGAAGATATTTCCTTTTTCACCGTAGTCCTGAGAACTCTCCAAATGTCCACTTCCAGATACTACAAAAAGAGTGTTTCAAACCTGCTCTATGAAAGGGACTGTTCAACACTGTGACTTCAATTGAAACATCCCAATGAAGCTTCTGAGAATGCTTCTGTCTAGAGTTTATATGAAGACAATCCCGTTTCCAACGAAATCCTCAAAGCTATCCAAATATCCTCTTGCAGATTTTACAAAAAGAGTGTTTCAAAACTGCTCTATCAAAAGAAAGGTTCAACACTGTTAGTTGAGGGCGCACATCACAAATAAGATTCTGAGAATGCTTCTGTCTAGTTTTCAGGGGAAGATATTTCCTTTTTCACCATAGGCCTGAAAGCGCTCTAAATGTCCACATCCAGATACTACAAAAAAAGTGTTTCAAACCTGCTCTATGAAAGGGAATGTTCAACTCTGTGACTTGAATGCAAACATCACAAAGAATTTACTGGGAATGCTGCTGTCTGCTTTTTATATGTAATCCCGTTTCCAACGAAATCCTCAAAGCTAGACAAATATCCACTTGCAGATTCCACAAAAAGAGTGTTTCAAAACTGCTCTCTCAAAAGAAAGGTTCAACTCTGTTAGCTGAGTAGATACATCATGAAAAAGTTTCTGACATTGCTTCTATCTAGCTTTTATTGGAAGATAATTCCTTTTTCACCGTAGTCCTGAGAGTGCTCCAAATGTCTACTTCCAGATACTACAAAAAGACTGTTTCAAACCTGCTCTATGAAAGGGACTGTTCAACACTGTGACTTCAATTGAAACAACCCAATGAAGCTTCTGAGAATGCTTCTGTCTAGAGTTTATATGAAGACATTCCCGTTTCCAACGAAATCCTCAAAGCTATCCAAATATCCTCTTGCAGATTTTACAAAAAGAGTGTTTAAAAACTGCTCTAGCAAAAGAAAGCTTCAACACTGTTAGTTGAGGGCGCACATCGCAAATAAGATTCTGAGAATGCCTCTGTCTAGTTTTCAGGGGAAGATATTTCCTTTTTCACCATAGGCCTGACAGCGCTCCAAATGTCCACATCCAGATACTACAAAAAGAGTGTTTCAAACCTGCTCTATGAAAGGGAATGTTCAACTCTGTGACTTGAATGCAAATATCACAAAGAAGTTTCTGGGAATGCTGCTGTCTGCTTTTTATATGTAATCCCGTTTCCAACGAAATCCTCAAAGCTAGACAAATATCCACTTGCAGATTCCACAAGAAGAGTGTTTCAAAACTGCTCTCTCAAAAGAAAGGTTCAACTCTGTTAGCTGAGTAGATACATCATGAAAAAGTTTCTGACATTGCTTCTATCTAGCTTTTATTGGAAGATAATTCCTTTTTCACCGCAGTCCTGAGAGCGCTCCAAATGTCCACTTCCAGATACTACAAAAAGAGTGTTTCAAACCTGCTCTATGAAAGGGACTGTTCAACACTGTGACTTCAATTGAAACATCCCAATGAAGCTTGTGAGAATGCTTCTGTCTAGGGTTTATATGAAGACAATCCCGTTTCCAACGAAATCCTCAAAGCTATCCAAATATCCTCTTGCAGATTTTACAAAAAGAGTGTTTCAAAACTGCTCTATCAAAAGAAAGCTTCAAGACTGTTAGTGGAGGGCGCACATCACAAATAAGATTCTGAGAATGCTTCTGTCTAGTTTTCAGGGGAAGATATTTCCTTTTTCACCATAGGCCTGAAAGCGCTCCAAATGTCCACATACAGATACTACAAAAAGTGTGTTTCAAATCTGCTCTATGAAAGGGAATGTTCAACTCTGTGACTTGAATGCAAACATCACAAAGAAGTTTCTGGGAATGCTGCTGTCTGCTTTTTATATGTAATCCCGTTTCCAACGAAATCCTCAAAGCTAGACAAATATCCACTTGCAGATTCCACAAAAAGAGTGTTTCAAAACTGCTCTCTCAAAAGAAAGGTTCAACTCTATTAGCTGAGTAGATACATCATGAAAAAGGTTCTGACATTGCTTCTATGTAGCTTTTATTGGAAGATATTTCCTTTTTCACCGTATTCCTGAGAACTCTCCAAATGTCCACTTCCAGATACTACAAAAAGAGTGTTTCAAACCTGCTCTATGAAAGGGACTGTTCAACACTGTGACTTCAATTGAAACATCCCAATGAAGCTTCTGAGAATGCTTCTGTCTAGAGTTTATATGAAGACAATCCCGTTTCCAACGAAATCCTCAAAGCTATCCAAATATCCTCTTGCAGATTTTACAAAAAGAGTGTTTCAAAACTGCTCTATCAAAAGAAAGGTTGAACACTGTTAATTGAGGGCGCACATCACAAATAAGATTCTGAGTATGCTTCTCTCTAGTTTTCAGGGGAAGATATTTCCTTTTTCACCGTAGGCCTGCAAGCGCTCCAAATGTCCACATCCAGATACTACAAAAAAAGTGTTTCAAACCTGCTCTATGAAAGGGAATGTTCAACTCTGTGACTTGAATGCAAACATCACAAAGAAGTTACTGGGAATGCTGCTGTCTGGTTTTTATATGTAATCCCGTTTCCAACGAAATCCTCAAAGCTAAACAAATATCCACTTGCAGATTCCACAAAAAGAGTGTTTCAAAACTGCTCTCTCAAAAGAAAGGTTCAACTCTGTTAGCTGAGTAGATACGTCATGAAAAAGTTTCTGACATTGCTTCTATCTAGCTTTTATTGGAAGATATTTCCTTTTTCACCGCAGTCCTGAGAGCGCTCCAAATGTCCACTTCCAGATACTACAAAAAGAGTGTTTCAAACCTGCTCTATGAAAGGGACTGTTCAACACTGTGACTTCAATTGAAACAACCCAATGAAGCTTCTGAGAATGCTTCTGTCTAGAGTTTATATGAAGACAATCCCGTTTCCAACGAAATCCTCAAAGCTATCCAAATATCCTCTTGCAGATTTTACAAAAAGAGTGTTTCAAAACTGCTCTATCAAAAGAAAGGTTCAACACTGTTAGTTGAGGGCGCACATCACAAATAAGTTTCTGAGAATGCTTCTGTCTAGTTTTCAGGGGAAGATATTTCCTTTTTCACCATAGTCGTGAAAGCGCTCCAAATGTCCACATCCAGATACTACAAAAAGAGTGTTTCAAACCTGCTCTATGAAAGGGAATGTTCAACTCTGTGACTTGAATGCAAACATCACCAAGAAGTTTCTGGGAATGCTGCTGACTGCTTTTTATATGTAATCCCGTTTCCAACGAAATCCTCAAAGCTAGACAAATATCCACTTGCAGATTCCACAAAAAGAGTGTTTCAAAACTGCTCTCTCAAAAGAAAGGTTCAACTCTGTTAGCTGAGTAGATACATCATGAAAAAGTTTCTGACATTGCTCCTATGTAGCTTTTATTGGAAGATATTTCCTTTTTCACCGTAGTCCTGAGAGCGCTCCAAATGTCCACTTCCAGATACTACAAAAAGAGTGTTTCAAACCTGCTCTATGAAAGGGACTGTTCAACACTGTGACTTCAATTGAAACATCCCAATGAAGCTTCTGAGAATGCTTCTGTCTAGAGTTTATATGAAGACAATCCCGTTTCCAACGAAATCCTCAAAGCTATCCAAATATCCTCTTGCAGATTTTACAAAAAGAGTGTTTCAAAACTGCTCTATCAAAAGAAAGGTTCAACACTGTTAGTTGAGGGCGCACATCACAGATAAGTTTCTGAGAATGCTTCTGTCTAGTTTTCAGGGGAAGATATTTCCTTTTTCACCATAGGCCTGAAAGCGCTCCAAATGTCCACATCCAGATACTACAAAAAGTGTTTCATACCTGCTCTATGAAAGGGAATGTTCAACTCTGTGACTTGAATACAAACATCACAAAGAAGTTTCTGGGAATGCTGCTGTCTGCTTTTTATATGTAATCCCGTATCCAACGAAATCCTCAAAGCTAGACACATATCCACTTGCAGATTCCACAAAAAGAGTGTTTCAAAACTGCTCTCTCAAAAGAAAGGTTCAACTCTGTTAGCTGAGTAGATACATCATGAAAAAGTTTCTGACATTGCTTCTATCTAGCTTTTATTGGAAGATAATTACTTTTTCACCGCAGTCCTGAGAGCGCTCCAAATGTCCACTTCCAGATATTACAAAAAGAGTGTTTCAAACCTGCTCTATGAAAGGGACTGTTCAACACTGTGACTTCAATTGAAACATCCCAATGAAGCTTCTGAGAATGCTTCTGTCTAGAGTTTATATGAAGACAATCTCGTTTCCAACGAAATCCTCAAAGCTATCCAAATATCCTCTTGCAGATTTTACACAAAGAGTGCTTCAAAACTGCCCTATCAAAAGAAAGCTTCAACACTGTTAGTTGAGGGCGCACATCACAAATAAGATTCTGAGAATGCTTCTGTCTAGTTTTCAGGGGAAGATATTTCCTTTTTCACCATAGGCCTGAAAGCATCCAAATGTCCACATCTAAACTCTTCAAAAAGAGTGTTTCAAACCTGCTCTATGAAAGGGAATGTTCAACACTGTGACTTGAATGCAAACATCACAAAGAAGTTTCTGGGAATGCTGCTGTCTGCTTTTTATATGTAATCCCGTTTCCAACGAAATCCTCAAATCTAGACAAATATCCACTTGCAGATTCCACAAAAAGAGTGTTTCAAAACTGCTCTCTCAAAAGAAAGGTTCAACTCTGTTAGCTGAGTAGATACATCATGACAAATTTTCTGACATTGCTTCTATCTAGCTTTTATTGGAAGATATTTCCTTTTTCACCGTAGTCCTGACAGCGCTCCAAATGTCCACTTCCAGATACCACAAAAAGAGTGTCTCAAACCTGCTCTATGAAAGGGACTGTTCAACACTGTGACTTCAATTGAAACATCCCAATGAAGTTACTGAGAATGCTTCTGTCTAGAGTTTATATGAAGACAATCCCGTTTCCAACGAAATCCTCAAAGCTATCCAAATATCCTCTTGCAGATTTTACACAAAGAGTGCTTCAAAACTGCCCTATCAAAAGAAAGGTTCAACACTGTTAGTTGAGGGCGCACATCACAAATAAGTTTCTGAGAATGCTTCTGTCTAGTTTTCAGGGGAAGATACTTCCTTTTTCACCATAGGCCTGAAAGCGCTCCAAATGTCCACATCCAGATACTACAAAAAGAGTGTTTCAAACCTGCTCTATGAAAGGGACTGTTCAACACTGTGACTTCAATTGAAACATCCCAATGAAGCTTTCGAGAATGCTTCTGTCTAGAGTTTATATGAAGACAATCCCGTTTCCAACGAAATCCTCAAAGCTATCCAAATATCCTCTTGCAGATTTTACAAAAAGGGTGTTTCAAAACTGCTCTATCAAAAGAAAGGTTCAACACTGTTAGTTGAGGGCGCACATCACAAATAAGTTTCTGAGAATGCTTCTGTGTAGTTTTCAGGGGAAGATATTTCCTTTTTCACCATAGGCCTGAAAGCGCTCCAAATGTCCACATCCAGATACTACAAAAAGAGTGTTTCAAACCTGCTCTATGAAAGGCAATGTTCTACTCAGTGACTTGAATGCAAACATCACAAAGAAGTTTCTGGGAATGCTGCTGTCTGCTTTTTATATGTAATCCCGTTTCCAACGAAATCCTCAAAGCTAGACAAATATCCACTTGCAGATTCCACAAAAGGAGTGTTTCAAAACTGCTCTTTCAAAACGATGGTTCAATTCTGTTAGTTGAGTACACACATCACAAATAAGTTTCTGAGAATGTTCTATCTAGTTTTTATGGGAGGATATTTCCTTTGTCAACACAAGCCGGAATGCCCTCCAAATGGACAACTTCCAGATATGACAAAAGGCGTGTTTCAAACCTGCTTTATGAAAGGGAATGTTCACATCTGGGACTTCAATGCAAACATCACAAAGAAATTTCTGAGAATGCTGCTGTCTGCTTTTTATATGGATTCCCGTTTCCAACGAAATCCTCCAAGCTGGCTTAATATCCACTTGCATATTCCCCAAAAAGACTGTTTTAAAACTGCTCTCTCAAAAGAAAGATTCAACTCTGTTAGCTGAGTAGATACATCATGAAAAAGTTTCTGACATTGCTTCTATCTAGCTTTTATTGGAAGATATTTCCTTTTTCACCGTAGTCCTGAGAGCGCTCTAAATGTCCACTTCCAGATACTACAAAAGTGTGTTTCAAACCTGCTCTATGAAAGGGAATGTTCAACTCTGTGACTTCAATGGAAACATCACAAAGAAGTTTCTGGGAATGCTGCTGTCTGCTTTTTATATGTAATCCCGTTTCCAACGAAATCCTCAAATCTAGCTACATATGCACTTGCAGATTCCACAAAAAGAGTGTTTCAAAACTGCTCCTTCAAAACGATTGTTGAATTCTGTTAGTTGAGTACACACATCACAAATAAGTTTCTGAGAATGCTTCTGTCTGGTTTCTTTGGGAAGATATTTCCTTTTTCAACACAAGCCTGAATGGGCTCCAAATGGACACTTCCAGATATGACAAAAGGCGTGTTTCCAACCTGCTCTAGGATACTGAACTTTGAACTCTGTGACTTGAATGCAAACATCACAAAGAAGTTTCTCACAATGCTGCTGTCTGCTTTTTATAAGTATTCCCGTTTCCAACGAAATCCTCAAGGCCAGCCAAATATTCACTTGCAGATTCCACAAAAAGAGTGTTTGAAAACTGTTCTGTCAAAAGAAATGTTCAACTCTGTTAGTTGAGGACACACCTCAGAAACCGGTTTCAGAGAATGCTTCTGCCTTGTTTTTATGGGAAGATATTTCCTTTGTCAACATAGGCCTGAAAGCGCTCCAAATGTCCACGTCCAGATACTACAAAAAGAGTGTTTCAAACCTGCTCTATGAAAGGGACTGTTCAACACTGTGACTTCAATTGAAACATCCCAATGAAGTTTCTGAGAATGCTTCTGTCTAGAGTTTATATGAAGACAATCCCGTTTCCAACGAAATCCTCAAAGCTATCCAAATATATTTTTGCAGATTTTACAAAAAGAGTGTTTCAAAACTGCTCTATCAACAGAAAGTTTCAACACTGTTAGTTGAGGGCGCACATCACAAATAAGTTTCTGAGTATGCTTCTGTCTAGTTTTCAGGGGAAGATATTTCCTTTTTCACCATAGGCCTGAAAGCGCTCCAAATGTCCACATCCAGATACTACAAAAAGAGTGTTTCAAACCTGCTCTGTGAAAAGGAATGTTCAACTCTGTGACTTGAATGCAAACATCAAAAAACAGTTTCTGTGAATGCTGGGGTCTGCTTTTTATATGTAATCCCGTTTCCAACGAAATCCTCAAAGCTAGACAAATATCCACTTGCATATTCCACAAAAAGAGTGTTTCAAAACTGCTCTCTCAAAAGAAAGGTTCAACTCTGTTAGCTGAGTAGATACATCATGAAAAAGTTTCTGACATTGCTTCTATCTAGCTTTTATTGGAGAATATTTCCTTTTTCACCGTAGTCCTGAGAGCGCTCTAAATGTCCACTTCCAGATACTACGAAAAGTGTGTTTCAAACCTGCTCTATGAAAGGGACTGTTCAACACTGTGACTTCAATTGAAACATCCCAATGAAGTTTCTGAGAATGCTTCTGTCTAGAGTTTATATGAAGACAATCCCGTTTCCAACGAAATCCTCAAAGCTATCCAAATATCCTCTTGCAGATTTTAGAAAAAGAGTGTTTAAAAACTGCTCTATGAAAAGAAAGGTTCAACACTGTTAGTTGAGGGCGCACATCACAAATAAGTTTCTGAGAATGCTTCTGTCTAGTTTTCAGGGGAAGATATTTCCTTTTGCACCATAGGCCTGAAAGCCCTCCAAATGTCCACATCCAGATAGTACAAAAAGAGTGTTTCAAACCTGCTCTATGAAAGGGAATGTTCAACTCTGTGACTTGAATGCAAACATCACAAAGAAGTTTCTGGGAATGCTGCTGTCTGCTTTTTATATGTAATCCCGTTTCCAACGAAATCCTCAAAGCTAGACAAATATCCACTTGCAGATTCCACAAAAAGAGTGTTTCAAAACTGCTCTCTCAAAAGAAAGGTTCAACTCTGTTAGCTGAGTAGATACATCATGAAAAAGTTTCTGACATTGCTTCTATCTAGCTTTTATTGGAAGATATTTCCTTTTTCACTGTAGTCCTGAGAGCGCTCCAAATGTCCACTTCCAGATACTACAAAAAGAGTGTTTCAAACCTGCTCTATGACAGGGAATGTTCAACACTGTGACTTCAATTGAAACATCCGAAAGAAATTTCTGAGAATGCTTCTGTCTAGAGTTTATATGAAGACAATCCCGTTTCCAACGAAATCCTCAAAGCTATCCAAATATCCTCTTGCAGATTTTACAAAAAGAGTGTTTCAAAACTGCTCTACCAAAAGAAAGGTTCAACACTGTTAGTTGACTACACACATCACAAATAAGTTTCTGAGAATGCTTCTGTCTAGTTTTCAGGGGAAGATATTTCCTTTTTCACCATAGGCCTGAAAGCGCTCCAAATGTCCACATCCAGATATTACCAAAAGAGTGTTTCAAACCTGCTCTGTGAAAGGGAATGTTCAACTCTGTGACTTGAATGCAAACATCACAAAGAAGTTTCTGGGAATGCTGCTGTCTGCTTTTTATATGTAATCCCGTTTCCAACGAAATCCTCAAAGCTAGACAAATATCCACTTGCATATTCCACAAAAAGAGTGTTTCAAAGCTGCTCTCTCAAAAGAAAGGTTCATCTCTGTTAGCTGAGCAGATACATCATGAAAAAGTTTCTGACATTGCTTCTATCTAGCTTTTATTGGAAGATATTTCCTTTTTCACTGTAGTCCTGAGAGCGCTCCAAATGTCCACTTCCAGATACTACAAGAAGAGTGTTTCAAACCTGCTCTATCAAAGGGAATGTTCAACACTGTGACGTCAATTGAAACATCCCAAAGAAATTTCTAAGAATGCTTCTGTCTAGAGTTTATATGAAGACAATCCCGTTTCCAACGAAATCCTCAAAGCTATCCAAATATCCTCTTGCAGATTTAACAAAATTGTGTTTCAAATCTGCTCTATGAAAAGAAAGGTTCAACACTGTTAGTTGAGGGCACACATCACAATTAAGTTTCTGAGAGTGCTTCTGTCTAGCTTTCAGGGGAAGATATTTCCTTTTTCACCATAGGCCTGAAAGCACTCCAAATGTCCACATCCAGATTCTACAAAAAGAGTTTTTCAATCCTGCTCTATGAAAGGGAATGTTCAACTCTGTGACTTGAATGCAAACATCACAAAGGAGTTTCTGAGAATGCTGCTGTCTGCTTTTTATATGTAATCCCGTTTCCAACGAAATCGTCAAATCTAGCTAAATATGCACTTGCAGATTCCACAAAAAGAGTGTTTCAAAACTGCTCCTTCAAAACGATTGTTGAATTCTGTTATTTGAGTACACACATCACAAATAAGTTTCTGAGAATGCTTCTGTCTGGTTTCTATTTGAAAGTATTTCCTTTTTCAACACAAGGTTGAATGCGCTTCAAATGGACACTTCCAGATATGACAAAAGGCATGTTTCCAACCTGCTCTATGATACGGAACGTTCAACTCTGTGACTTGAATGCAAACATCAGAAAGAAGTTTCTCACAACGCTGCTGTCTGCTTTTTATATGTATTCCCGTTTCCAACGAAATCCTCAAAGCCAGCAAAGTATCCACTTGCAGATTCCACAAAAAGAGTGTTTCAAAACTGTTCTGTCAAAAGAAATGTTCAACTCTGTTAGTTGAGGACACATCTCAGAAACTAGGTTCAGAGAATGCTTCTGTCTAGTTTTTATGGGAAGATATTTCCTTTTTCAATATAGCCCTGAAAGCGCTACAAATGTCCACGTCCAGATACTACAAAAAGAGTGTTTCAAACCTGCTCCATGAAAGGGACTGTTCAACACTGCGACTTCAATAGAAACATCCCAATGAAGTTTCTGAGAATGCTTCTGTCTAGAGTTTATATGAAGAGAATCCCGTTTCCAACGAAATCCTCAAAGCTATCCAAATATCTTCTTGCAGATTTTACAAAAAGAGTGTTTCAAAACTGCTCTATCAAAAGAAAGGTTCAACACTGTTAGTTGAGGGCGCACATCACAAATAAGTTTCTGAGAATGCTTCTGTGTAGTTTTTGAGGCAAGATATTTCCTATTTCACCTTACGCCTCAAAGCGTTCAAAACGTCCACTTCCAGATACTACAAAAAGAGTGCTTCAAACCTGCTCTATTAAAGGGAGTGATCAACTCTGTGACTCGAACGCTAACATCCCAAGGAGGTTTCTGAGAATGCTTGTGTCTCGATTTCATATGAATATTTTCCCGTTTCCAACGAAATCCTCAAAGCTGTCCAAATATCCACATGCAAATTCCACAAAAAGAGTGTATATAACTGCTCTATCAAAAGAAGGGTTCAACTCTGGTAGTTGAGCACACACATCACAAACTAGTTCATGAGAATACTTCTGTCTAGTTTTTATGCGAAGATACACCTTTTTCACCACAGGCCTCAAAGCGATCCACATGTCCACTTCCAGATTCCACAGAAAGAGTGTTTCAAACCTGCTCTATGAAAAGGAACGTTCAAATATGTGACTTGAATGCTGACACCCCAAAGACGGTTCTGAAAATGCTTCTGTCTAGATTTTATGTGAAGATATTCCAGTTTCGAACGAAATCCTCAAAGCTGTCAAAATATCCCCTTGCAGAATATACAAAAAGAGTGTTTCAAGAGTGCTCTCTCAAAAGATAGGTTCAACCCTGTTAGTTGAGTACACACATCACAAACCGGTTTCTGAGAATGCTTCTGCGTAGTTTATATGGGAAGATATTTCCTTTTTCACAATAGGTCACAAAGCACCCCAAATGTCCAGTTCCATATACTACAAAATCTTGTGTTCACACCTGCTTTATGAAAGAGAATGTTCAACACTGGCACTTGAATGCCATCCTCACAGAGATTTTTCTGAGAATGCTTCTGTCTAGGTTTTGTATGGACATATTCCCGTTTCCAACGAAATCCTCTAAGCTATCCAAATATCCACTTGCAGACTGTAAAAAAAGAGTGTTTCAAAACTGCTCTATCAAAAGAAAGATTCAACTCTGTTAGTTGAGTACACACATTCCAAACAAGTTTTGGAGACTGCTTCCGACTAGTTGTTATCCGAAGATATTTCCCATTTCACCATAGCCCTCAAAGCGATCTAAATGTCCATCTCCAGATACTACAAAAAGCGTGTTTCAAAGCTGCTCTATGAAAGGGAATGTACAATTCTCTGACTTCAATGCAAACATCAAAAAGGTGTTTCCGCGAAGGCTTCTGTCTAGATTTTATATGAAGATATTCCCTTTTCCAAGGAAATCCTAAAAGCTATCCAAATATCCACCTGCAGATTCTCCAAAAAGAGTGTTTAAAAACTGCTCTGTCAAAAGAAAGGTTCAACTCTGTTAGTTGAGCACACACATCAGAAACTAGTTCGTGAGAATACTTCTGTCCAGTTTTTATGTGAAGATATACCATTTTCACCGCAGGCCTCAAAGCGATCCAAATGTCCACTTCCAGATTCCACAAAAAGAGGGCTTCAAACCTGCTCTATGAAAAGGAACGTTCAACTCTGTGACTTGAATGCTAACACCCCAAAGACGTTTCTGAGAATGCTTCTGTCTATATTTTATGTGAAGATATTCCCGTTTCCAACGATATCCTCAAAGCTTTCCAAATATCCACATGCAGATTCTATAAAAAGAGTGTTTCAAAACCGCTCTATGAAAAGAAAGGTTCAGCTCTGTTAGTTAAGTACACACATCACAAACTAGTTTATGAGAATGCTTCCGTCTAGTTTTTATTCGAAGATATTCCCTTTTTCACCGTAGGCCTCAATGCGACCCAAAGGTCCCCTTCCAGATTCCACAAAAAGAGTGTTTCAAACCTGCTCCATGAAAGGGAATGTTCAACTCTGTGACTTGAATGCAAACATCCCAAAGATGTTTCTGAGGATGCTTCTGTCGAGATTTTATATGAAGATATCCCGTTTCCAACGAAATCCTCAAAGCTGTCAAAATATCCCCTTGCAGAGTCTACAGAAAGAGTGTTTCAAGAGTGCTCTCTCAAAAGAAAGGTTCAACCCTGTTAGTTGAGTACACAGATCACAACCTGGTTTCTGAGAATTTTTCTGCCTAGTTTATATGGGAAGATATTTCCTTTTTCACAAAATGTCACAAAGCACTCCAAATGTCCACTTCCATATACTACAAAATCTTGTGTTCACACCTGCTTTATGAAAGGGAATGTTCAACACCGGGACTTGAAAGCAATCCCCACAGAGATTTTTCTGAGAATGCTTCTGTCTAGGTTTTGTATGGACATATTCCCGTTTCCAACGAAATCCTCTAAGCTATCCAAATATCCACTTGCAGACTCTACAAAAAGAGTGTTTCAAAACTGCTCTATCAAAAGAAAGATTCAACTCTGTTAGTTGAGTACACACATTCCAAGCAAGTTTTGGAGACTGCTTCCATCTAGTTTTTATGCGAAGATATTTCCTATTTCACCATAGGCCTCAACGTGATCTAAATGTGCATCTCCAGATACTACAAAAAGAGTGTTTCAATGCTGCTCTATGAAAGGGGATGTACAACTCTCTGACTTCAATGCAAACATCCCAAAGGTGTTTCTGCGAAGGCTTCTGTCTAGATTTTATATGAAGATATTCCCTTTTCCAAGGAAATCCTCAAAGCTATCCAAATATCTACCTGCAGATTCTCCAAAAAGACTGTTTCAAAACTGCTCTATCAAAAGAAAGGTTCAACTCTGTTAGTTGAGTAAACACATCACAACGTAGATTCTGAGAATGCTTCTGTGTAGTTTTTGTGGCAAGATATTTCCTTTTTCACCTTATGCCTCAAAGCGATCAAAACGTCCACTTCCAGATACTACAAAAAGAGTGCTTCAAACCTGCTCTGTGAAAGGGAGTGATCAACTGTGTGACTCGAAGGCTAACATCCCAAAGAGGTTTCTGAGAATGCTTGTGTCTCGATTTCATATGAAGATTTTCCCGTTTCCAACGAAATCCTCAAAGCTGTCCAGATAGCCACATGCAAATTCTACAAAAAGAGTGTTTCAAAACTGCTCTATCAAAAGAAAGGTTCAACTCTGGTAGTTGAGCACACACATCACAAACTAGTTCCTGAGAATACTTCTGTCTAGTTTTTATGCGAAGATATACCTTTTTCACCGCAGGCCTCAAAGCGATCCAAATGTCCACTTCCAGATTCCACAAAAAGAATGTTTCAAACCTGCTCTATGAAAAGGAGCGTTCAACTCTGTGACTTGAATGCTAACACCCCAAAGACGTTTCTGAGAATGCTTCTGTCTATATTTTATGTGAAGATATTCCCGTTTCCAAAGAAATCCTCAAAGCTTTCCAAATATCCACAGGCAGATTCTAAAAAAAGAGTGTTTCAAAACCGCTCTATGAAAAGAAAGGTTCAGCTCTGTTAGTTAACCGCACACATCACAAAGTAGTTTATGAGAATGCTTCTGTCTAGTTTTTATTCGAAGATATTCCCTTTTTCACCGTAGGCCTCAATGCGATCCAAATGTCTACTTCCAGATTCCACAAAAAGAGTGTTTCAAACCTGCTCCATGAAAGGGAAAGTTCAACTCTGTGACTTGCATGCAAACATCCCAAAGAAAGATGTTTCTGAGAATGCTTCTGTCGAGATTTTATATGAAGATATCCCGTTTCCAACGAAATCCTCAAAGCTGTCCAAATATCCCCTTGCAGAGTCTACAAAAAGAGTTTTTCAAGCGTGCTCTCTCAAAAGAAAGGTTCAACCCTGTTAGTTGAGTACACACATCACAACCTGGTTTCTGAGAATGCTTCTGCCTAGTTTATATGGGAAGATATTTCCTTTTTCACAATAGGTCACAAAGCACTCCAAAATTCCAGTTCCATATACTACAACATCCTGTGTTCACACCTGCTTTATGAAAGAGAATGTTCAACACTGGGACTTGAATGCAATCCTCACAGAGATTTTTCTGAGAATGCTTCTGTCTAGGTTTTGTATGGACATATTCCCGTTTCCAACGAAATCCTCTAAGCTATCCAAATATCCACTTGCAGACTCTACAAAAAGAGTGTTTCAAAACTGCTCTATCAAAAGAAAGGTTCAACACTGTTAGTTGAGGGCGCACATCACAAATAAGTTTCTGAGAATGCTTCTGTCTAGTTTTCAGGAGAACATATTTCCTTTTTCACCATAGGCCTGAAAGCGCTCCAAATGTCCACATCCAGATACTACAAAAAGAGTGTTTCAAAGCTGCTGTATGAAAGGGAATGTTCAACTCTGTGACTTGAATGCAAACATCACAAAGAAGTTTCTGGGAATGCTGCTGTCTGCTTTTTATATGTAATCCCGTTTCCAACGAAATCCTCAAAGCTAGACAAATATCCACTTGCAGATTCCACAAAAAGAGTGTTTCAAAACTGCTCTCTCAAAAGAAAGGTTCAACTCTGTTAGCTGAGCAGATACATCATGAAAAAGTTTCTGACATTGCTTCTATCTAGCTTTTATTGGAAGATATTTCCTTTTTCACTGTAGTCCTGAGAGCGCTCCAAATGTCCACTTCCAGATACTACAAGAAGAGTGTTTCAAACCTGCTCTATGACAGGGAATGTTCAACACTGTGACTTCAATTGAAACATCCCAAAGAAATTTATGAGAATGCTTCTGTCTAGAGTTTATATGAAGACAATCCCGTTTCCAACGAAATCCTCAAAGCTATCCAAATATCCTCTTGCAGATTTTACAAAAAGAGTGTTTCAAAACTGCTCTATCAAAAGACAGGTTCAACACTGTTACTTGAGGGCGCACATCACAAATAAGTTTCTGAGAATGCTTCTGTCTAGTTTTCAGGGGAAGATATTTCCTTTTTCACCATAGGCCTGAAAGCGCTCCAAATGTCCACATCCAGATACTACAAAAAGAGTGTTTCAAACCTTCTCTATGAAAGGGAATGTTCAACTCTGTGACTTGAATGCAACCGTCACAAAGAAGTTTCTGGGAATGCTGCGGCCTGCTTTTTATATGTAATCCCGTTTCCAACGAAATCCTCAAAGCTAGACAAATATCCACTTGCAGATTCCACAAAAAGAGTGTTTCCAAACTGCTCTTCCACAACGATGGTTCAATTCTGTTAGTTGAGTACACACATCACAAATAAGTTTCTGAGAATGCTTCTATCTAGTTTTTATGGGAGGATATTTCCTTTTTCAACACAAGCCGGAATGCGCTCCAAATGGACAACGTCCAGATATGACAAAAGGCGTGTTTCAGACCTGCTCTATTAAAGGGAATGTTGAACTCTGGGACTTCAATGCAAACATGACAAAGAAGTTTCTGACAATGCTGCTGTCTGCTTTTTATATGGATTCCCGTTTCCAACGAAATCCTCCAAGCTGGCCTAATATCCACTTGCATATTCCCCAAAAAGAGTGTTTTAAAACTGGTCTCTCAAAAGAAAGGTTCAACTCTGTTAGCTGAGTAGATACATCATGAAAAATTTCTGACATTGCTTCTATCTAGCTTTTATTGGAAGATATTTCCTTTTTCACAGTAGTCCTGAGAGCGCTCCAAATGTCCACTTCCAGATACTACAAAAAGAGTGTTTCAAACCTGCTCTATGAAAGGGACTGTTCAACACTGTGACTTCAGTTGAAACATCACAATGAAGTTTCTGAGAAAGCTTCTGTCTAGAGTTTATATGAAGACAATCCCGTTTCCAACGAAATCCTCAAAGCTATCCAAATATCTTCTTGCAGATTTTACAAAAAGTGTGTTTCAAAACTGCTCTATCAAAAGAAAGGTTCAACACTGTTAGTTGGGGGCGCACATCACAAATAAGATTCTGAGAATGCTTCTGTCTAGTTTTCAGGGGAAGATATTTCCTTTTTCACCATAGGCCTGAAAGCGCTCCAAATGTCCACATCCAGATACTACAAAAAGAGTGTTTCAAACCTGCTCTATGAAAGGGAATGTTCTACTCAGTGACTTGAATGCAAACATCGCAAAGATGTTTCTGGGAATGCTGCTGTCTGCTTTTTATTTGTAATCCCGTTTCCAACGAAATCCTCAATGCTAGACAAATATCGACTTGCAGATTCCAGAAAAAGAGTGTTTCAAAATTGCTCTTTCAAAACGATGGTTCAATTCTGTTAGTTGAGTACACACATCACAAATAAGTTTCAGAGAATGCTTCTGTCTAGTTTTTATGAGAGGATATTTCCTTTTTCAACACAAGCCGGAATGTGCTCCAAATGGACAGCTTCCAGACATGACAAAAGGCGTGTTTCAAACCTGCTCTCTCAAATGGAATGTTCAACACTGGGACTTCAATGGAAACATCACAAAGAAGTTTCTGAGACTGCTGCCGTCTGCTTTTTAAATGTATTCCCGTTTCCAACGAAATCCTCAGAGCCAGCCAAATATCCACTTGCAGATTCTACAAAAAGAGTGTTTCAAAACCGCTCAATGAAAAGAAAGGTTCAGCTCTGTTAGTTAAGCACACACATCACAAACTAGTTTATGAGAATGCTTCTGTCTAGTTTTTATTCGAAGATATTCCCTTTTTCACCGTAGGCCTCAATGCGACCCAAAAGTCCCCTTCCAGATTCCACAAAAGAGTGTTTCAAACCTGCTCCATGAAAGGGAATGTTCAACTCTGTGACTTGAATGCAAACATCCCAAAGATGTTTCTGAGGATGCTTCTGTCGAGATTTTATATGAAGATATCCCGTTTCCAACGAAATCCTCAAAGCTGTCAAAATATCCCCTTGCAGAGTCTACAAAAAGAGTGTTTCAAGAGTGTTCTCTCAAAAGAAAGGTTCAACCCTGTTAGTTGTGTACACAGATCACAAACTGCTTTCTGAGAATGCTTCTGCCTAGTTTATATGGGAAGATACTTCCTTTTTCACAAAATGTCACAAAGCACTCCAAATGTCCACTTCCATATACTACAAAATCTTGTGTTCACACCTGCTTCATGAAAGGGAATGTTCAACACTGGGACTTGAATGCAATCCTCACAGAGATTTTTCTGAGAATGCTTCTGTCTAGGTTTTTTATGGACATATTCCCGTTTCCAACGAAATCCTCTAAGCTATCCAAATATCCACTTGCAGACTCTACAAAAAGAGTGTTTCAAAACTGCTCTATCAAAAGAAAGATTCAACTCTGTTAGTTGAGTACACACATTCCAAGCAAGTTTTGGAGACTGCTTCCGTCTAGTTTTTATGCGAAGATATTTCCTATTTCACCATAGGCCTCAACGTGATCTAACTGTGCATCTCCAGATACTACAAAAAGAGTGTTTCAAAGCTGCTCTATGACAGGGAATGTACAACTCTCTGACTTCAATGCAAACATCACAAAGGTGTTTCTGCGAAGGCTTCGGTCTAGATTTTATATGAAGATATTCCCTTTTCCAAGGAAATCCTCAAAGTTATCCAAATATCCACCTGCAGATTCTCCAAAAAGAGTGTTTCAAAACTGCTCTATCAAAAGAAAGGTTCAACTCTGTTAGTTGAGTAAACACATCACAACGTAGTTTCTGAGAATGCTTCTGTGTAGTTTTTGTGGCAAGATATTTCCTTTTTCACCTTACGCCTCAAAGCGATCAAAACGTCCACTTCCAGATACTACAAAAAGAGTGCTTCAAACCTGCTCTATGAAAGGGAGTGATCAACTGTGTGACTCGAACGCTAACATCCCAGAGAGGTTTCTGAGAATGCTTGTGTCTCGATTTCATATGAAGATTTTCCCGTTTCCAACGAAATCCTCAAAGCTGTCCAGATAGCCACATGCAAATTCTACAAAAAGAGTGTTTCAAAACTGCTCTATCAAAAGAAAGGTTCAACTCTGGTAGTTGAGCACACACATCACAAACTAGTTCCTGAGAATACTTCTGTCTAGTTTTTATGCGAAGATATACCTTTTTCACCGCAGGCCTCAAAGCGATCCAAATGTCCACTTCCAGATTCCACAAAAAGAATGTTTCAAACCTGCTCTATGAAAAGGAGCGTTCAACTCTGTGACTTGAATGCTAACACCCCAAAGACGTTTCTGAGAATGCTTCTGTCTATATTTTATGTGAAGATATTCCCGTTTCCAAAGAAATCCTCAAAGCTTTCCAAATATCCACAGGCAGATTCTAAAAAAAGAGTGTTTCAAAACCGCTCTATGAAAAGAAAGGTTCAGCTCTGTTAGTTAACCGCACACATCACAAAGTAGTTTATGAGAATGCTTCCGTCTAGTTTTTATTCGAAGATATTCCCTTTTTCACCGTAGGCCTCAATGCGATCCAAATGTCTACTTCCAGATTCCACAAAAAGAGTGTTTCAAACCTGCTCCATGAAAGGGAAAGTTCAACTCTGTGACTTGCATGCAAACATCCCAAAGAAAGATGTTTCTGAGAATGCTTCTGTCGAGATTTTATATGAAGATATCCCTTTTCCAACGAAATCCTCAAAGCTGTCCAAATATCCCCTTGCAGAGTCTACAAAAAGAGTTTTTCAAGCGTGCTCTCTCAAAAGAAAGGTTCAACCCTGTTAGTTGAGTACACACATCACAACCTGGTTTCTGAGAATGCTTCTGCCTAGTTTATATGGGAAGATATTTCCTTTTTCACAATAGGTCACAAAGCACTCCAAATGTCCAGTTCCATATATTACAACATCTTGTGTTCACACCTGCTTTATGAAAGGGAATGTTCAACACTGGGACTTGAATGCAATCCTCACAGAGATTTTTCTGAGAATGCTTCTGTCTAGGTTTTGTATGGACATATTCCCGTTTCCAACGAAATCCTCTAAGCTATCCAAATATCCACTTGCAGACTCTACAAAAAGAGTGTTTCAAAACTGCTCTATCAAAAGAAAGGTTCAACACTGTTAGTTGAGGGCGCACATCACAAATAAGTTTCTGAGAATGCTTCTGTCTAGTTTTCAGGGGAAGATATTTCCTTTTTCACCATAGGCCTGAAAGCGCTCCAAATGTCCACATCCAGATACTACAAAAAGAGTGTTTCAAAGCTGCTCTATGAAAGGGAATGTTCAACTCTGTGACTTGAATGCAAACATCACAAAGAAGTTTCTGGGAATGCTGCTGTCTGCTTTTTATATGTAATCCCGTTTCCAACGAAATCATCAAAGCTAGACAAATATCCACTTGCAGATTCCACAAAAAGAGTGTTTAAAAACTGCTCTCTCAAAAGAAAGGTTCAACTCTGTTAGCTGAGCAGATACATCATGAAAAAGTTTCTGACATTGCTTCTATCTAGCTTTTATTGGAAGATATTTCCTTTTTCACTGTAGTCCTGAGAGCGCTCCAAATGTCCACTTCCAGATACTACAAGAAGAGTGTTTCAAACCTGCTCTATGACAGGGAATGTTCAACACTGTGACTTCAATTAAAACATCCCAAAGAAATTTATGAGAATGCTTCTGTCTAGAGATTATATGAAGACAATCCCGTTTCCAACGAAATCCTCAAAGCTATCCAAATATCCTCTTGCAGATTTTACAAAAAGAGTGTTTCAAAACTGCTCTATCAAAAGAAAGGTTCAACACTGTTACTTGAGGGCGCACATCACAAATAAGTTTCTGAGAATGCTTCTGTCTAGTTTTCAGGGGAAGATATTTCCTTTTTCACCATAGGCCTGAAAGCGCTCCAAATGTCCACATCCAGATACTACAAAAAGAGTGTTTCAAACCTTCTCTATGAAAGGGAATGTTCAACTCTGTGACTTGAATGCAACCGTCACAAAGAAGTTTCTGGGAATGCTGCGGCCTGCTTTTTATATGTAATCCCGTTTCCAACGAAATCCTCAAAGCTAGACAAATATCCACTTGCAGATTCCACAAAAAGAGTGTTTCCAAACTGCTCTTCCACAACGATGGTTCAATTCTGTTAGTTGAGTACACACATCACAAATAAGTTTCTGAGAATGCTTCTATCTAGTTTTTATGGGAGGATATTTCCTTTTTCAAGACAAGCCGGAATGCGCTCCAAATGGACAACGTCCAGATATGACAAAAGGCGTGTTTCAGACCTGCTCTATTAAAGGGAATGTTGAACTCTGGGACTTCAATGCAAACATGAGAAAGAAGTTTCTGACAATGCTGCTGTCTGCTTTTTATATGGATTCCCGTTTCCAACGAAATCCTCCAAGCTGGCCTAATATCCACTTGCATATTCCCCAAAAAGAGTGTTTTAAAACTGGTCTCTCAAAAGAAAGGTTCAACTCTGTTAGCTGAGTAGATACATCATGAAAAATTTCTGACATTGCTTCTATCTAGCTTTTATTGGAAGATATTTCCTTTTTCACAGTAGTCCTGAGAGCGCTCCAAATGTCCACTTCCAGATACTACAAAAAGAGTGTTTCAAACCTGCTCTATGAAAGGGACTGTTCAACACTGTGACTTCAGTTGAAACATCACAATGAAGTTTCTGAGAAAGCTTCTGTCTAGAGTTTATATGAAGACAATCCCGTTTCCAACGAAATCCTCAAAGCTATCCAAATATCTTCTTGCAGATTTTACAAAAAGTGTGTTTCAAAACTGCTCTATCAAAAGAAAGGTTCAACACTGTTAGTTGGGGGCGCACATCACAAATAAGATTCTGAGAATGCTTCTGTCTAGTTTTCAGGGGAAGATATTTCCTTTTTCACCATAGGCCTGAAAGCGCTCCAAATGTCCACATCCAGATACTACAAAAAGAGTGTTTCAAACCTGCTCTATGAAAGGGAATGTTAAACTCTGTGACTTGAATGCAAACATCACAAAGAAGTTTCTGGGAATGCTGCTGTCTGCTTTTATATGTAATCCCGTTTCCAACGAAATCCTCAATGCTAGACAAATATCGACTTGCAGATTCCAGAAAAAGAGTGTTTCAAAATTGCTCTTTCAAAACGATGGTTCAATTCTGTTAGTTGAGTACACACATCACAAATAAGTTTCAGAGAATGCTTCTGTCTAGTTTTTATGAGAGGATATTTCCTTTTTCAACACAAGCCGGAATGTGCTCCAAATGGACAGCTTCCAGACATGACAAAAGGCGTGTTTCAAACCTGCTCTATCAAATGGAATGTTCAACACTGGGACTTCAATGGAAACATCACAAAGAAGTTGCTGAGAATGCTGCCGTCTGCTTTTTAAATGTATTCCCGTTTCCAACGAAATCCTCAGAGCCAGCCAAATATCCACTTGCAGATTCTACAAAAAGAGTGTTTCAAAACCGCTCAATGAAAAGAAAGGTTCAGCTCTGTTAGTTAAGCACACACATCACAAACTAGTTTATGAGAATGCTTCTGTCTAGTTTTTATTCGAAGATATTCCCTTTTTCACCGTAGGCCTCAATGCGACCCAAAAGTCCCCTTCCAGATTCCACAAAAAGAGTGTTTCAAACCTGCTCCATGAAAGGGAATGTTCAACTCTGTGACTTGAATGCAAACATCCCAAAGATGTTTCTGAGGATGCTTCTGTCGAGATTTTATATGAAGATATCCCGTTTCCAACGAAATCCTCAAAGCTGTCCAAATATCCCATTGCAGAGTCTACAAAAAGAGTTTTTCAAGCGTGCTCTCTCAAAAGAAAGGTTCAACCCTGTTAGTTGAGTACACACATCACAACCTGGTTTCTGAGAATGCTTCTGCCTAGTTTATATGGGAAGATATTTCCTTTTTCACAATAGGTCACAAAGCACTCCAAATGTCCACTTCCATATACTACAACATCTTGTGTTCACACCTGCTTCATGAAAGGGAATGTTCAACACTGGGACTTGAATGCAATCCTCACAGAGATTTTTCTGAGAATGCTTCTGTCTAGGTTTTTTATGGACATATTCCCGTTTCCAACGAAATCCTCTAAGCTATCCAAATATCCACTTGCAGACTCTACAAAAAGAGTGTTTCAAAACTGCTCTATCAAAAGAAAGATTCAACTCTGTTAGTTGAGTACACACATTCCAAGCAAGTTTTGGAGACTGCTTCCGTCTAGTTTTTATGCGAAGATATTTCCTATTTCACCATAGGCCTCAACGTGATCTAACTGTGCATCTCCAGATACTACAAAAAGAGTGTTTCAAAGCTGCTCTATGACAGGGAATGTACAACTCTCTGACTTCAATGCAAACATCACAAAGGTGTTTCTGCGAAGGCTTCGGTCTAGATTTTATATGAAGATATTCCCTTTTCCAAGGAAATCCTCAAATCTATCCAAATATCCACCTGCAGATTCTCCAAAAAGAGTGTTTCAAAACTGCTCTATCAAAAGAAAGGTTCAACTCTGTTAGTTGAGTAAACACATCACAACGTAGTTTCTGAGAATGCTTCTGTGTAGTTTTTGTGGCAAGATATTTCCTTTTTCACCTTATGTCTCAAAGCGATCAAAACGTCCACTTCAAGATACTACAAAAAGAGTGCTTCAAACCTGCTCTATGAAAGGGAGTGATCAACTGTGTGACTCGAACGCTAACATCCCTAAGAAGTTTCTGAGAATGCTTGTGTCTCGATTTCATATGAAGATTTTCCCGTTTCCAGCGAAATCCTCAAAGCTGTCCAAATATCCACATGCAAATTCTACAAAAAGAGTGTTTCAAAACTGCTCTATCCAAAGAAAGGTTCAACTCTGGTAGTTGAGCACACACATCACAAACTAGTTCATGAGAATACTTCTGTCTAGTTTTTATGCGAAGATATACCTTTTTCACCGCAGGCCTCAAAGCGATCCAAATGTCCACTTCCAGATTCCACAAAAAGAGTGTTTCAAACCTGCTCTATGAAAAGGAACGTTCAACTCTGTGACTTGAATGCTAACACCCCAAAGACGTTTCTGAGAATGCTTCTGTCTAGATTTTATGTGAAGATATTACGGTTTCCAACGAAATCCTCAAAGCTTTCCAAATATCCACATGCAGATTCTACAAAAAGAGTGTTTCAAAACCGCTCTATGAAAAGAAAGGTTCAGCTCTGTTAGTTAAGCACACAGATCACAAACTAGTTTATGAGAATGCTTCTGTCTAGTTTTTATTCGAAGATATTCCCTTTTTCACCGTAGGCCTCAATGCGATCCAAATGTCTACTTCCAGATTCCACAAAAAGAGTGTTTCAAACCTGCTCCATGAAAGGGAATGTTCAACTCTGTGACTTGAATGCAAACATCCCAAAGATGTTTCTGAGGATGCTTCTGTCGAGATTTTATATGAAGATATCCCTTTTCCAACGAAATCCTCAAAGCTGACAAAATATCCCCTTGCAGATTCTACAAAAAGAGTGTTTCAAGAGTGCTCTCTCAAAAGAAAGGTTCAACCCTGTTAGTTGAGTACACACATCACAAACTGGTTTCTGAGAATTCTTCTGCCTAGTTTATATGGGAAGATATTTCCTTTTTCACAAAAGGTCACAAAGCACTCCAAATGTCCACTTCCATATACTACAAAATCTTGTGTTCACACCTGCTTTATGAAAGGGAATGTTCAACACCGGGACTTGAATGCAATCCTCACAGAGATTTTTCTGAGAATGCTTCTGTCTAGGTTTTGTATGGACATATTCCCGTTTCCAGCAAAATCCTCTAAGCTATCCAAATATCCACTTGCAGACTCTACAAAAAGAGTGTTTCAAAACTGCTCTATCAAAAGAAAGATTCAACTCTGTTAGTTGAGTACACACATTCCAAGCAAGTTTTGGAGACTGCTTCAATCTAGTTTTTATGCGAAGATTTTCCTATTTCACCATAGGCCTCAAAGCGATCTAAATGTCCATCTCCAGATACTACAAAAAGAGTGTTTCAAAGCTGCTCTATGTAAGGGAATGTAGAACTCTCTGACTTCAATGTAAACATCGCAAAGGTGTTTCTGCGAATGCTTCTGTCTAGATTTTATATGAAGATATTCCCTTTTCCACGGAAAACCACAAAGCTATCCCAATATCCACCGGCATATTCTCCAAAAAGAGTGTTTCAAAACTGCTCTATCAAAAGAAAGGTTCAACTCTGTTAATTGAGTAAACACATCACAACGTAGTTTCTGAGAATGCTTCTGTGTAGTTTTTGTGGCAAGATATTTCCTTTTTCACCTTACGCCTCAAAGCAATCAAAACGTCCACTTCCAGATACTACAAAAAGAGTGCTTCAAACCTGCTCTATGAAAGGAGGGATCAACTGTGTGACTTGAACGCTGACATCCCAAAGAGGTTTCTGAGAATGCTTGTGTCTCGATTTCATATGAAGATTTTCCCGTTTCCAACGAAATCCTCAAAGGTGTCCAAATAGCCACATGCAAATTCTACAAAAAGAGTGTTTCAAAACTGCTCTATCAAAAGAAAGGTTCAACTCTGGTAGTTGAGCACACTCATCACAAGCTAGTTCGTGAGAATAATTCTGTCTAGCTTTTATGCGAAGGTATACCTTTTTCTCCGCAGGCCTCAAAGCGATCCAAATGTCCACTTCCAGATTCCACAAAAAGAGTGTTTCAAACCTGCTCTATGAAAAGGAACGTTCAACTCTGTGACTTGAATGCTAACACCCCAAAGACGTTTCTGAGAATGCTTCTGTCTAGATTTTATGTGAAGATATTCCCGTTTCCAAAGAAATCCTCAAAGCTTTCCAAATATCCACAGGCAGATTGTACAAAAAGAGTGTTTCCAAACCGCTCTATGAAAAGAAAGGTTCAGCTCTGTTAGTTAACCACACACATCACAAAGTAGTTTATGAGAATGTTTCTGTCTAGTTTTTATTCGAAGATATTCCCTTTTTCACCGTAGGCCTCAATGCGATCCAAATATCCACTTCCAGATTCCACAAAAAGAGTGTTTCAAACCTGCTCCATGAAAGGGAAAGTTCAACTCTGTGACTTGCATGCAAACATCCCAAGGATGTTTCTGAGGATGCTTCTGTCGAGATTTTATATGAAGATATCCCGTTTCCAACGAAATCCTCAAAGCTGTCCAAATATCCCCTTGCAGAGTCTACAAAAAGAGTTTTTCAAGCATGCTCTCTCAAAAGAAAGGTTCAACCCTGTTAGTTGAGTACGCACATCACAAACTGGTTTCTGAGAATGCTTCTTCCTAGTTTATATGGGAAGATATTTCCTTTTTCACAATAGGTCACAAAGCACTCCAAATGTCCAGTACCATATACTACAAAATCTTGTGTTCACACCTGCTTTATGAAAGGGAATGTTCAACACTGGGACTTGAATGCAATCCTCACAGAGATTTTTCTGAGAATGCTTCTGTCTAGGTTTTGTATGGACATATTCCCGTTTCCAACGAAATCCTCTAGGCTATCCAAATATCCACTTGCAGATTCTACAAAAAGAGTGTTTCAAAACTGCTCTATCAAAAGAAATGTTCAACACTGTTACTTGAGGGCGCACATCAAAATAAGTTTCTGAGAATGCTTCTGTCTAGTTTTCAGGGGAAGATATTTCCTTTTTCACCATAGGCCTGAAAGCGCTCCAAATGTCCACATCCAGATACTACAAAAAGAGTGTTTCAAACCTGCTCTATGAAAGGGAATGTTCAACTCTGTGACTTGAATGCAAACATCACAAAGAAGTTTCTGGGAATGCTGCTGTCTGCTTTTTATATGTAATCCCGTTTCCAACGAAATCCTCAAAGCTAGACAAATATCCACTTGCATATTCCACAAAAAGAGTGCTTCAAAGCTGCTCTCTCAAAAGAAAGGTTCAACTCTGTTAGCTGAGCAGATACATCATAAAAAAGTTTCTGACATTGCTTCTATCTAGCTTTCATTGGAAGATATTTCCTTTTTCACGGTAGTCCTGAGAGCGCTCCAAATGTCCACTTCCAGATACTACAAGAAGAGTGTTTCAAACCTGCTCTAACAAAGGGAATGTTCAACACTGTGACTTCAATTGAAACATCCCAAAGAAATTTCTGAGAATGCTTCTGTCTAGAGTTTATATGAAGACAATCCCGTTTCCAACGAAATCCTCAAAGCTATCCAAATATCCTCTTGCAGATTTAACAAAATAGTGTTTCAAAACTGCTCTATCAAAAGAAAGGTTCAACATTGTTAGTTGAGGGCACACATCACAAATAAGTTTCTGAGAATGCTTCTGTCTAGTTTTCAGGGGAAGATATTTCCTTTTTCACCATAGGCCTGAAAGCGCTCCAAATGTCCACATCCAGATTCTACAAAAAGAGTTTTTCAATCCTGCTCTATGAAAGGGAATGTTCAACTCTGTGACTTGAATGCAAACATCACAAAGAAGTTTCTGAGAATGCTGCGGCCTGCTTTTTATATGTAATCCCGTTTCCAACGAAATCCTCAAATCTAGCTAAATATGCACTTGCAGATTCCACAAAAAGAGTGTTTCAAAACTGCTCCTTCAAAACGATTGTTGAATTCTGTTAGTTGAGTACACACATCACAAATAAGTTTCTGAGAATGCTTCTGTCTGGTTTCTATGGGAAGGTATTTCCTTTTTCAACACAAGCCTGAATGCACTCCAAATGGACACTTCCAGATATGACAAAAGGCGTGTTTCCAACCTGCTCTATGATACGGAACGTTCAACTCTGTGACTTGAATGCAAACATCATAAAGACGTTTCTCACAACGCTGCTGTCTGCTTTTTGTATGTATTCCCGTTTCCAACGAAATCCTCAAAGCCAGCAAAATATCCACTTGCAGATTCCACAAAAAGAGTGTTAAAAAACTGTTCTGTCAAAAGAAATATTCAACTCTGTTATTTGAGGACACAACTCAGAAACTAGTTTCAGAGAATGCTTCTGTCTAGTTTTTATGGGAAGATATTTCCTTTTTCAACATAGCCCTGAAAGCGCTACAAATGTCCACTTCCAGATACTACAAAAAGAGTGTTTCAAACCTGCTCCATGAAAGGGACTGTTCAACACTGCGACTTCAATAGAAACATCCCAATGAAGTTTCTGAGAATGCTTCTGTCTAGAGTTTATATGAAGACAATCCCGTTTCCAACGAAATCCTCAAAGCTGTCCAAATATGTTCTTGCAGATTTTACAAAAAGAGTGTTTCAAAACTGCTCTATCAAAAGAAAGGTTCAACACTGTTAGTTGAGGGCGCACATCACAAATAAATTTCTGAGAATGCTTCTGTGTAGTTTTTGAGGCAAGATTTTTCCTTTTTCACCTTACGCCTCAAAGCGATCAAAACGTCCACTTCTAGATACTACAAAAAGAGTGCTTCAAACCTGCTCTATGAAAGGGAGTGATCAACTCTGTGACTCGAACGCTAACATCCCAAAGAGGTTTCTGAGAATGCTTGTGTCTCGATTTCATATGAAGATATTCCCGTTTCCAACGAAATCCTCAAAGCTGTCCAAATATCCACATGCAAATTCCACAAAAAGAGTGTTTAAAAACTGCTGTATCAAAAGAAAGGTTCAACTCTGGTAGTTGAGCACACACATCACAAACTAGTTCATGAGAATACTTCTGTCTAGTTTTTATGCGAAGATACACCTTTTTCACCGCAGGCCTCAATGCGATCCACATGTCCACTTCCAGATTGCACAGAAAGAATGTTTCAAACCTGCTCTATGAAAAGGTACGTTCAAATCTGTGACTTGAATGCTGACACCCCAAAGACGGTTCTGAAAATGCTTCTGTCTAGATATTATGTGAAGATATTCCAGTTTCCAACGAAATCCTCAAAGCTGTCAACGTATCCCCTTGCAGAGTCTACAAAAAGAGTGTTTCAAGAGTGCTCTCTCAAAAGATAGGTTCAACCCTGTTAGTTGAGTACACACATCACAAACCGGTTTCTGAGAATGCTTCTGCCTAGTTTATATGGGAAGATATTTCCTTTTTCACCATAGGTCACAAAGCACCCCAAATGTCCAGTTCCATATACTACAAAATCTTGTGTTCACACCTGCTTTATGAAAGGGAATGTTCAACACTGGCACTTGAATGTAATCCTCACAGAGATTTTTCTGAGAATGCTTCTGTCTAGGTTTTGTATGGACATATTCCCGTTTCCAACGAAATCCTCTAAGCTATCCAAATATCCACTTGTAGACTCTACAAAAAGAGTGTTTCAAAACTGCTCTATCAAAAGAAAGATTCAACTCTGTTAGTTGAGTACACACATTCCAAGCAAGTTTTGGAGACTGCTTCCGTCTAGTTTTTATGCGAAGAGATTTCCTATTTCACCATAGGCCTCAAAGCGATGTAAATGTCCATCTCCAGATACTACAAAAAGAGTGTTTGAAAGCTGCTCTATGAAAGGGAATGTACAACTCTCTGACTTCAATGCAAACATCACAAAGGTGTTTCTGCGAAGGCTTCTGTCTAGATTTTATATGAAGATATTCCCTTTTCCAAGGAAATCCTCAAAGCTATCCAAATATCCACCTGCAGATTCTCCAAAAAGAGTGTTTCAAAACTGCTCTATCAAAAGAAAGGTTCAACTCTGTTAGTTGAGTAAACACATCACAACGTAGTTTCTGAGAATGCTTCTGTGTAGTTTTTGTGGCAAGATATTTCCTTTTTCATCTAACGCCTCAAAGCGATCAAAACGTCCACTTCCAGATACTACAAACAGAGTGCTTCAAAGCTGCTCTATGAAAGGGAGTGATCAACTGTGTGACTCGAACGCTAACATCCCAAAGAGGTTTCTGAGAATGCTTGTGTCTCGATTTCATATGAAGATTTTCCCGTTTCCAACGAAATCCTCAAAGCTGTCCAAATATCCACATGCAAATTACACAAAAAGAGTGTTTAAAAACTGCTCTATCAAAAGAAAGGTTCAACTGTGGTAGTTGAGCACACACATCACAAACTAGTTCATGAGAATACTTCTGTCTAGTTTTTATGCGAAGAAATACCTTTTTCACCACAGGCCTCAAAGCGATCCAAATGTCCACTTCCAGATTCCACAAAAAGAGTGTTTGAAACCTCCTCTATGAAAAGGAACGTTCAACTCTGTGACTTGAATGTTAGCACCCCAAAGACTTCTCTGAGAATGCTTCTGTCTAGATTTTATGTGAAGATTTTCCCGTTTCCAACGAAATCCTCAAAGCTTTCCAAATATCCACATGCAGATTCTACAAAAAGAGTGTTTTAAAACCGCTCTATGAAAAGAAAGGTTCAGCTCTGTTAGTTAAGCACACACATCACAAACTAGTTTATGATAATGCTTCTATCTAGTTTTTATTCGAAGATATTCCCTTTTTCACCGTAAGCCTCAATGCGATCCAAATGTCCACTTCCAGATTTTACAAAAAGAGTTTTTCAAACCTGCTCCATGATAGGGAGTGTTCAACTCTGTGACTTGAATGCAAACATCCCAAAGATGTTTCTGAGGATGCTTCTGTCGAGATTTTATATGAAGATATCCCGTTTCCAACGAAATCCTCAAAGCTGTCCAAATATCCCATTGCAGAGTCTACAAAAAGAGTGTTTCAAGAGTGCTCTCTCAAAAGAAAGGTTCAACCCTGTTAGTTGAGTACTCACATCACAATCTGGTTTCTGAGAATGCTTCTGCCTAGTTTATATGGGAAGATATTTCCTTTTTCACAATAGGTCACAAGGCACTCCAAATGTCCAGTTCCATATACTACAAAATCTTGTGTTCACACCTGCTTTATGAAAGGGAATGTTCAACACTGGGACATGAATGCAATCCTCACAGAGATTTTTCTGAGAATGCTTCTGTCTAGGTTTTGTATGGACATATTCCCGTTTCCAACGAAATCCTCTAAGCTATCCAAATATCCACTTGCAGACTCTACAAAAAGAGTGTTTCAAAACTGCTCTATCAACAGAAAGATTCAACTCTGTTAGTTGAGTACACACATTCCAAGCAGTTTTGGAGACTGCTTCCGTCTAGTTTTTATGCGAAGATATTTCCTATTTCACCATAGGCCTCAAAGCGATCTAAATGTCCATCTCCACATACTACAAAAAGAGTGTTTCAAAGCTGCTCTATGAAAGGGAATGTACAACTCTCTGACTTCAATGCAAACATCCCAAAGGTGTTTCTGCGAATGCTTCTGTCTAGATTTTATATGAAGATATTCCCTTTTCCAAGGAAATCCTCAAAGCTATCCAAATATCCACCTGCAGATTCTCCAAAAAGACTGTTTCAAAACTGCTCTATGAAAGGAAAGGTTCAACTCTGTTAGTTGAGTAAACACATCACAACGTAGTGTCCGAGAATGCTTCTGTGTAGTTTTTGTGGCAAGATATTTCCTTTTTCACCTTACGCCTCAAAGCGATCAAAACGTCCACTTCCAGATACTACAAAAAGAGTGCTTCAAAGCTGCTCTATGAAAGGGAGTGATCAACTCTGTGCCTCGAACGCTAACATCCCAAAGACGTTTCTGAGAATGCTTGTGTCTCGATTTCATATGAAGATTTTCCCGTTTCCAACGAAATCCTCTAAGCTGTCCAAATATCCACATGCAAATTCTAGAAAAAGAGTTTTTCAAAACTGCTCTATCAAAAGAAAGGTTCAACTCTGGTAGTTGAGCACACACATCACAGACTAGTTAATGAGAATACTTCTGTCTAGTTTTTATGCGAAGATATACCTTTTTCACCGCAGGCCTCAAAGCGATCCAAATGTCCACTTCCAGATTCCACAAAAAGAGTGTTTCAAACCTGCTCTATGAAAAGGAACGTTCAACTCTGTGACTTGAATGCTAACACCCCAAAGACGTTTCTGAGAATGCTTCTGTCTAGATTTTATGTGAAGATATTCCCGTTTCCAACGAAATCCTCAAAGCTTTCCAAATATCCACATGCAGATTCTACAAAAAGAGTGTTTCAAAACCGCTCTATGAAAAGAAAGGTTCAGCACTGTTAGTTAAGCACACACATCACAAACTAGTTTATGAGAATGCTTCTGTATAGTTTTTATTCGAAGATATTCCCTTTTTCACCGTAGGCCTCAATGCGATCCAAGTGTCCACTTCCAGATTCCACAAAAAGAGTGTTTCAAACCTGCTCCATGAAAGGGAATGTTCAACTCTGTGACTTGAATGCAAACATCCCAAAGATGTTTCTGAGGATGCTTCTGTCGAGATTTTATATGAAGATATCCCGTTTCCAACGAAATCTTCAAAGCTGTCAAAATATCGCCTTGCAGAGTCTACAAAGAGTGTTTCAAGAGTGCTCTCTCAAAAGAAAGGTTCAACCCTGTTAGTTGAGTACACACATCACAAACTGTTTTCTGAGAATGCTTCTGCCTAGTTTATATGGGAAGATATTTCCTTTTTCACAATAGGTCACAAAGCACTCCAAATGTCCAGTTCCATATACTACAAAATCTTGTGTTCACGCATGCTTTATGAAAGGGAATGTTCAACCCTGGGACTTGAATGCAATCCTCACAGAGATTTTTCTGAGAATGCTTCTGTCTAGGTTTTCTATGGACATATTCCGTTTCCAACGAAATCCTCTAAGCTATCCAAATATCGACTTGCAGACTCTACAAAAAGAGTGTTTCAAAACTGCTCTATCAAAAGAAAGACTCAAATCTGTTAGTTGAGAACACACATTCCAAGGAAGTTTTGGAGAGTGCTTCCGTCTAGTTTTTATGCGAAGATATTTCCTATTTCACCATAGGCCTCAAAGCGATCTAAATGTCCATCTCCAGATACTACAAAAAGAGTGTTTCAAAGCTGCTCTATGAAAGGGAATGTACAACTCTCTGACTTCAATGCAAACATCACAAAGGTGTTTCTGCGAAGGCTTCTGTCTAGATTTTATATGAAGATGTTCCCTTTTCCAAGGAAATCCTCAAAGCTATCCAAATATCCAACTGCCGATTCTCCAAAAAGAGTGTTTCAAAACTGCTCTATCAAAAGAAAGGTTCAGCTCTGTTAGTTGAGTAAACACATCACAACGTAGTTTCTGAGAAGGCTTCTGTGTATTTTTTGTGTCAAGATATTTCCTTTTTCACCTTACGCCTCAAAGCGATCAAAACGTTCAATTCCAGAAACTACAAAAAGAGTGCTTCAAACTTGCTCTATGAAAGGGAGTGATCAACTCTGTGACTCGAACGCTAACATCCCAAAGAGGTTTCTGAGAATGCTTGTGTCTCGATTTCATATGAAGATTTTCCCGTTTCCAACGAAATCCTCAAAGCTGTCCTAATATCCACATGCAAATTACACAAAAAGAGTGTTTAAAAACTGCTCTATCAAAAGAAAGGTTCAACTGTGGTAGTTGAGCACACACATCACAAACTAGTTCATGAGAATACTTCTGTCTAGTTTTTATGCGAAGAAATACCTTTTTCACCACAGGCCTCAAAGCGATCCAAATGTCCACTTCCAGATTCCACAAAAAGAGTGTTTGAAACCTCCTCTATGAAAAGGAACGTTCAACTCTGTGACTTGAATGTTAGCACCCCAAAGACGTTTCTGAGAATGCTTCTGTCTAGATTTTATGTGAAGATTTTCCCGTTTCCAACGAAATCCTCAAAGCTTTCTAAATATCCACATGCAGATTCTACAAAAAGAGTGTTTCAAAACCGCTCTATGAAAAGAAAGGTTCAGCTCTGTTAGTTAAGCACACACATCACAAACTAGTTTATGAGAATGCTTCTGTCTAGTTTTTATTCGAAGATATTCCCTTTTTCACCGTAAGCCTCAATGCGATCGAAATGTCCACTTCCAGATTTCACAAAAAGAGTGTTTCAAACCTGCTCCATGATAGGGAATGTTCAACTCTGTGACTTGAATGCAAACATCCCAAAGATGTTTCTGAGGATGCTTCTGTCGAGATTTTATATGAAGATATCCTGTTTCCAACGAAATCCTCAAAGCTTTCCAAATATCCCATTGCAGAGTCTACAAAAAGAGTGTTTCAAGAGTGCTCTCTCAAAAGAAAGGTTCAACCCTGTTAGTTGAGTACACAGATCACAAACTGCTTTATGAGAATGCTTCTGCCTAGTTTATATGGGAAGATATTTCCTTTTTCACAATAGGTCACAAAGCACTCCAAATGTCCAGTTCCATATACTACAAAATCTTGTGTTCACACCTGCTTTATGAAAGGGAATGTTCAACACTGGGACTTGAATGCAATCCTCACAGAGATTTTTCTGAGAATGCTTCTGTCTAGGTTTTGTATGGACATATTCCGTTTCCAACGAAATCCTCTAAGCTATCCAAATATCCACTTGCAGACCCTACAAAAGGAGTGTTTCAAAACTGCTCTATCAAAAGAAAGATTCAACTCTGTTAGTTGAGTACACACATTCCCAACAAGTTTTGGAGACTGCATCCGTCTAGTTTTTGTGCGAAGATATTTCCTATTTCACCATAGGCCTCAAAGCGATCTAAATGTCCATCTCCAGATACTACAAAAAGAGTGTTCCAAAGCTGTTCTATGAAAGGGAATGTACAACTCTCTGACTTCAATGCAAACATCACAAAGGAGTTTCTGCGAAGGCTTCTGTCTAGATTTTATATGAAGATATTCCCTTTTCCAAGGAAATCCTCAAAGCTATCCAAATATCCACCTGCAGATACTCCAAAAAGTGTGTTTCAAAACTGCTCTATCAAACGAAAGGTTCAACTCTGTTAGTTGAGTAAACACATCACAACGTAGTTTCTGAGAATGCTTCTGTGTATTTTTTGTGGCAAGATATTTCCTTTTTCACCTTACGCCTCAAAGCGATCAAAACGTCCACTTCCAGATACTACAAACAGAGTGCTTCAAAGCTACTCTATGAAAGGGAGTGATCAACTCTGTGACTCGAACGCTAACATCCCAAAGAGGTTTCTGAGAATGCTTGTGTCTCGATATGAAGATTTTCCCGTTTCCAACGAAATCCTCAAAGCTGTCCAAATATCCACATGCAAATTACACAAAAAGAGTGTTTAAAAACTGCTCTATCAAAAGAAAGGTTCAACTCTGGTAGTTGAGCACACACATCACAAACTAGTTCATGAGAATATTTGTGTCTAGTTTTTATGCAAAGATATACCTTTTTCACCGCAGGCCTCAAAGCGATCCAAAGGTCCACTTCCAGATTCCACAAAAAGAGTGTTTCAAACCTGCTCTATGAAAAGGAACGTTCAACTCTGTGACTTGAATGCTAACACCCCAAAGACGTTTCTGTGAATGCTTCTGTCTAGATTTTATGTGAAGATATTCCCGTTTCCAACGATATCCTCAAAGCTTTCCAAATATCCACATGCAGATTCTACAAAAAGAGTGTTTCAAAACCGCTCTATGAAAAGAAAGGTTCAGCTCTGTTAGTTAAGCACACACATCACAAACTAGTTTATGAGAATGCTTCTATATAGTTTTTATTCGAAGATATTCCCTTTTTCACCGTAGGCCTCAATGCGATCCAAATGTCCACTTCCAGATTCCACAAAAAGAGTGTTTCAAACCTGCTCCATGATAGGGAATGTTCAACTCTGTGACTTGAATGCAAACATCCCAAAGATGTTTCTGAGGATGCTTCTGTCGAGATTTTATATGAAGATATCCCGTTTCCAACGAAATCCTCAAAGCTGTCCAAATATCCCATTGCAGAGTCTACAAAAAGAGTGTTTCAAGAGTGCTCTCTCAAAAGGAAGGTTCACCCCTGTTAGTTGAGTACACACATCACAATCTGGTTTCTGAGAATGCTTCTGCCTAGTTTATATGGGAAGATATTTCCCTTTTCACAATAGGTCACAAAGCACTCCAAATGTCCAGTTCCATATACTACAAAATCTTGTGTTCACACCTGCTTTATGAAAGGGAATGTTCAACACTGGGACTTGAATGCAATCCTCACAGAGATTTTTCTGAGAATGCTTCTGTCTAGGTTTTGTATGGACATATTCCCGTTTCCAACGAAATCCTCTAAGCTATCCAAATATCCAATTGTAGACTCTACAAAAAGAGTATTTCAAAACTGCTCTATCAAAAGAGAGATTCAACTCTGTTAGTTGAGTACACACATTCCAAGCAAGTTTTGGAGACTGCTTCCGTCTAGTTTTTATGCGAACAGATTTCCTATTTCACCATAGGCCTCAAAGCGATGTAAATGTCCATCTCCAGATACTACAAAAAGAGTGTTTGAAAGCTGCTCTATGAAAGGGAATGTACAACTCTCTGACTTCAATGCAAACATCACAAAGTTGTTTCTGCGAAGGCTTCTGTCTAGATTTTATATGAAGATATTCCCTTTTCCAAGGAAATCCTCAAAGCTATCCAAATATCCACCTGCAGATTCTCCAAAAAGAGTGTTTCAAAACTGCTCTATCAAAAGAAAGGTTCAACTCTGTTAGTTGAGTAAACACATCACAACGTAGTTTCTGAGAATGCTTCTGTGTAGTTTTTGTGGCCAGATATTTCCTTTTTCACCTTACGCCTCAAAGCGATCAAAACGTCCACTTCCAGATATTACAAACAGAGTGCTTCAAAGCTACTCTATGAAAGGGAGTGATCAACTCTGTGACTCGAACGCTAACATCCCAAAGAGGTTTCTGAGAATGCTTGTGTCTCGATTTCATATGAAGATTTTCCCGTTTCCAACAAAATCCTCAAAGCTGTCCAAATATCCACATGCAAATTACACAAAAAGAGTGTTTCAAAACTGCTCTATCAAAAGAAAGGTTCAACTCTGGTAGTTGAACACACACATCACAAACTAGTTTATGAGAATACTTCTGTCTAGTTTTTATGCGAAAATATACCTTCTTCACCGCAGGCCTCAAAGCGATGCAAATGTCCACTTCCAGATTCCACAAAAAGAGTGTTTCAAAACTGCTCTATGAAAAGGAACGTTCAACTATGTGACTTGAATGCTAACACCCCAAAGACGTTTCTGAGAATGCTTCTGTCTAGATTTTAAGTGAAGATATTCCCGTTTCCAAAGAAATCCTCAAAGCTTTCCAAATATCCACATGCAGATTCTACAAAAAGAGTGTTTCAAAACCGCTCTATGAAAAGAAAGGTTCAGCTCTGTTAGTTAAGCACACACATCACAAACTAGTTTATGAGAATGCTTCTGTCTAGATTTTATTCGAAGATATTCCCTTTTTCACCGCAGGCCTCAAAGCGATCCAAATGTCCACTTCCAGATTCCACAAAAAGAGTGTTTCAAACCTGCTCCATGAAAGGGAATGTTCAACTCTGTGACTTGATTGCAAACATCCCAAAGATGTTTCTGAGGATGCTTCTGTCGAGATTTTATATGAAGATATCCTGTTTCCAACGAAATCCTCAAAGCTGTCCAAATATCCCCTTGCAGAGTGTACAAAAAGAGTGTTTCAACAGTGCTCTCTCAAAAGAAAGGTTCCGCTCTGTCAGTTGAGCCCACACATCACAAGCTAGTTTATGAGAATGCTTCTGTCTAGTTTTTATTCGAAGATATTTCCATTTTCACCATAGGCCCCAATGCGATCCAAATGTCCACTTCCAGATTGCACAAAAAGAGTGTCTCAAACCTGCTCCATGAAAGGGAATGTTCAACTCTCTGACTTGAATGCAAATATCCCAAAGATGTTTCTGAGAATGCTTCTGTCTAGATTTCATATTAAGATATTCCCGTTTCCAAAGAAATCCTCAAAGCTATCCAAATATCCCCTTGCAGAGTCTACAAAAAGAGTGTATCAAGAGTGCTCTATCAAAAGAAAGTTTCAAACCTGTTAGTTGAGTATACACATCACAAACTTGTTTCTGAAAATACTTCTACCTAGTTTTTATGGCAAGATATTCCCTTTTGACAATAGGTCACGAAGTACTCCAAATGACCAGTTCCACATACTACAAAATCAGGTTTTCATACCTGCTCTATGAAAGGGAATGTTCAACTCTGGGACTTGAATGCAATCCTCACAGAGATGTTTCTGAAAATTCTTCTGTCTAGTTTGTATATGAACATATTCCCCTTTCCAAGGAAATCCTCAAAGCTATCCCAATATCCACTTGCAGATTTTACAAAAAGAGTGTTTCAAAACTGTCTATCAAAAAAAAGATTCAACTCTGTTAGCTGAGTACACACATTCCAAACAAGTTTTGGAGATTGCTTCCGTCTAGTTTTTATGTGAAGATATTTCCTTTTTCACCATAGGTGTCAAAACGATCTAAATGTCCATTTCCACATACTACAAAAAGAGTGTTTCAGACCTGCTCTATGAAAGGGAATGTACAACTCTCTGACTTCAAGGTAAACATCACAAATTTGCTTCTGAGAATGCTTCTGTCTAGATTTTATATGAAGATAGTCCCGTTTCCAAGAAATCCTCAAAGCTCTCCAAATATCCTCTTGCAGATTCTACAAAAAGAGTGTTTCAAAACTGCTCTATCAAAAGAAATGTTCAACTCTGAAGTTGAGTAAACACATCACAAAGTAGTTTCTGAGAATGCTTCTGTGTAGTTTTTGTGGGAAGATATTTCCTTTTTCACCTTAAGCCTGAAAGCAATCCAAATGTCCACTTCCAGACACTACAAAAAGAGTGTTTCAAACCTGCTCTATGAAAGGGAATGTTCAACTCTGTGACTCGAATGCTAACATCCCAAAGAGATTCCTGAGAATGCTTGTCTCGATTTCATAGGAAGATTTCCAGGTTTCCGACAAAATCCTCAAAGTTGTACAAATATTCACATGCAAATTCTACAAAAAGAGTGTTTCAAAACCGCTCTATCAAAAGAAATGTTGAAATCTGTTAGTTGAGAACACACATCACAAACTAGTTTATGAGAATACTTCTGTATAGTTTTTATGCGAAGATATTCCCTTTTTCACCACACGCCTCAAAGCGATCCAAAAGTCCACTTCCAGATGCAACAAAAAGAGTGTTTCAAACCTGCTCTATGTATGGGAATATTCAACTCTGTGACTTGAAGGCTAATATCCCAAAGATGTTTCCGAGAATGCTTTTGTCTAGATTTTATAGGAAGATATTCCCTTTTCCAAAGAAATCCTCAAAACTTTCCAAATATCCACATGCAGATTCCACAAAAAGAGTGTTTCAAAACTACTCTATGAAAAGAAAGGTTCAGCTCTGTTAGTTGAGCACACACATCACAAACTGCTTTATGAGAATGCTTCTGTCTAGTTTTTATTCGAGGATATTCCCTTTTTCACCATAGGCCCCAATGCGATCCAAATGTCCACTTCCAGATTGCACAAAAAGGGTGTTTTCAACCTGCTCCATGAAAGGGAATGTTCAACTCTGTGACTTGAATGCAAACATCCCAAAGATGTTTCTGAGAATCGTCTGTTTAGATTTTATATGAAGATATTGCCGTTTCCAAGGAAATCCTCAAAGCTATCCAAATATCCACTTGCAGACTCTACAAAAAGAGTGTTTCTAGAGTGCTCTCTCAAAAGAAGGGTTCAACCCTGTTAGTTGAGTACACACATCACAAACTGGTTTCTGAGAATGCTTCTGCCAATTTTTTATGGGAAGATATTTCCTTTTTCACAATAGGACACAAAGCACTCCAAATGTCCAGTTCCACACACTACAAAATCATGATTTCATAACTGCTCTATGAAAGGGAATGTTCAACTCTGGGACTTGAATGCAATCCTCACAGAGATGTTCCTGAGAATGCTTCTGTCTATATTTTATATGAACATATTCCCATTCCCAACGAAATCCTCAAAGCTATACAAAAATATCCACTTGCAGATTCTACAAAAAGAGTGTTTCAAAACTGCTCTATCAAAAGAAAGATTCAACTCTGTTAGTTGAGTACACACATTCCAAACAAGTTTTGGAGACTGCTTCCATCTATTTTTTTTGCGAAGATATTTCCTTTTTCACCATAAGCCTCAAAGGGATCTAAATGTCCATTTCCAGATACTACAAAAAGAGTGTTTCAAAGCTGCTCTATGAAAGGGAATGTACAACTCTCTGACTTGAATGCAAACATCACAGAGTTGTTTCTGAGAATGCTTCTCTCTAGATTTTATATGAAGATATTATCGTTTCTGAGGAAATCCTCAAAGCTATCAAAATATCCACTTGCAGATTCTATAAAAAGAGTGTTTCAAGAGTGGTCTATCAAAAAAAAGGTTCACCTCTGTTAGTTGAGTAAACACATCACAAAGTAGTTTCTGAGAATACTTCTGTGTAGTTTTTGTGGGAAGATATTTCCTTTTTCACCTTTTGCCTCAAAGCGATCAAAATGTCCACTTCCAGATATACAAAAAGAGTGTTTCAAACCTGCTCTATGAAAGAGAATGTTCAACTCTGCGACTGGAATGCTAACATCCCAAAGAGGTTTCTGAGAATGCTTGTGTGTCCATTTCATATGCAGATTTTCCCGATTCCAACGACATCCTCAATGCTGTCCAAATATCCACATGCAAATTCTACAAAAAAAGTGTTTCAAAACTGCTCTATCAAAAGAAAGGTTCAACTCTGTTAGTTGAGCACACACATCACAACCTAGTTTATGAGAATACTTCTGTCTAGTTTTTATGCGAAGATATTCCCTTTTTCACCACAGGCCTCAAAGCGATCAAAATGTCTACTTCCAGATTCCACAAAAAGAGTGTTTCAAACCTGCTCTATGAAAGGGAATGTTCAACTCTTTGACTTGAATGCTAACACCCCAAAGATGTTTCTGAGAATGCTTCTATCTAGATTTTATAAGAAGATATTCGCGTTTCCAACGAAATCCTCAAAACTTTCCAATATCCACAGGTAGATTCTAAAAAAAGAGTGTTTCAATACTGCTTTATGAAAAGAAACGTTCAGCTCTGTTAGTTGAGCACACACACCACAAACTAGATTATGAGAATGCTTCTCTCTAGTTTTTATTCGAAGATATTCCTTTTTTCACCGCAGGCCTCAATGCGATCCAAATGTCCACGTCCAGTTTCCACAAAAAGAGTTTTGCAAACCTGCTCCATGATAGGGAATGTTCAACTCCTTGACTTGAATGCAAAAATCCCAAAGATGTTTCTGAGAATGCTTCTGTCTAGATTTTATACGAAGATATTCACGTTTCTAACGAAATCCTCAAAGCTATCCAAATACCCCTTGCAGAGTCTACAAAAAGAGTGTTTCAAGAGTCCTCTCTCAGAAGAAATGTTCAACCCTGTTAGTTGTGTACACATATCACAAACTGGTTTCTGAGAATGCTTCTGCCTAGTTTTTATGGGAAGATATTTCCTTTTTCACACTAGGCCACAAAGCACTCCAAATGTCTAGTTCCACATACTACAAAATCATGATTTCATAACTGCTCTATGAAAGGGAATGTTCAACTCTGGGACTTGAATGCAATCCTCACAGAGATGTTCCTGAGAATGCTTCTGTCTATATTTTATATGAACATATTCCCATTCCCAACGAAATCCTCAAAGCTATACAAAAATATCCGCTTGCAGATTCTACAAAAAGAGTGTTTCAAAACTGCTCTATCAAAAGAAAGATTCAACTCTGTTAGTTGAGTACACACATTCCAAACAAGTTTTGGAGACTGCTTCCGTCTATTTTTTATGCGAAGATATTTCGTTTTTCACCATAAGCCTCAAAGGGATCTAAATGTCCATTTCCAGATACTACAAAAAGAGTGTCTCAAACCTGCTCTATGAAAGGGAATGTACAACTCTCTGACTTGAACGCAAACATCACAGAGTTGTTTCTGAGAATGCTTCTCTCTAGATTTTATATGAAGATATTATCGTTTCTGAGGAAATCCTCAAAGCTATCAAAATATCCACTTGCAGATTCTATAAAAAGAGTGTTTCAAGAGTGGTCTATCAAAAAAAAAGGTTCACCTCTGTTAGTTGAGTAAACACATCACAAAGTAGTTTCTGAGAATACTTCTGTGTAGTTTTTGTGGGAAGATATTTCCTTTTTCACCTTTCGCCTCAAAGCGATCAAAATGTCCACTTCCAGATATACAAAAAGAGTGTTTCAAACCTGCTCTATGAAAGAGAATGTTCAACTCTGCGACTGGAATGCTAACATCCCAAAGAGGTTTCTGAGAATGCTTGTGTGTCCATTTCATATGCAGATTTTCCCGATTCCAACGACATCCTCAATGCTGTCCAAATATCCACATGCAAATTCTACAAAAAGAGTGTTTCAAAACTGCTCTATCAAAAGAAAGTTTCGACTCTGTTAGTTGAGCACACACATCACAACCTAGTTTATGAGAATACTTCTGTCTAGTTTTTATGCGAAGATATTCCCTTTTTCACCACAGGCCTCAAAGCGATCAAAATGTCTACTTCCAGATTCCACAAAAAGAGTGTTTCAAACCTGCTCTATGAAAGGGAATGTTCAACTCTTTGACTTGAATGCTAACACCCCAAAGATGTTTCTGAGAATGCTTCTATCTAGATTTTATAAGAAGATATTCGCGTTTCCAACGAAATCCTCAAAGCTTTCCAAATATCCACAGGTAGATTCTAAAAAAAGAGTGTTTCAATACTGCTTTATGAAAAGAAACGTTCAGCTCTGTTAGTTGAGCACACACACCACAAACTAGATTATGAGAATGCTTCTCTCTAGTTTTTATTCGAAGATATTCCTTTTTTCACCACAGGCCTCAATGCGATCTAAATGTCCACGTCCAGTTTCCACAAAAAGAGTTTTGCAAACCTGCTCCATGATAGGGAATGTTCAACTCCTTGACTTGAATGCAAAAATCCCAAAGATGTTTCTGAGAATGCTTCTGTCTAGATTTTATACGAAGATATTCACGTTTCTAACGAAATCCTCAAAGCTATCCAAATACCCCTTGCAGAGTCTACAAAAAGAGTGTTTCAAGAGTCCTCTCTCAGAAGAAATGTTCAACCCTGTTAGTTGTGTACACATATCACAAACTGGTTTCTGAGAATGCTTCTGCCTAGTTTTTATGGGAAGATATTTCCTTTTTCACACTAGGCCACAAAGCACTCCAAATGTCTAGTTCCACATACTACAAAATCATGATTTCATAACTGCTCTATGAAAGGGAATGTTCAACTCTGGGACTTGAATGCAATCCTCACAGAGATGTTTCTGAGAATGCTTCTGCCTAGGTTTTATAAGAACTTATTCCCGTTTCCAACCTAATCCTCAAAGCTATCCAAATATCCACTTGCAGATTCCACAAAAAGAGTGTTTCAAAACTGCTCTATCAAAGGAAAATCCAAATCGGTTAGTTGAGTACACACATTCCCAATAAGTTTGGGTGACTGCTTCCGTCTAGTTTTTATGTAAAGATATTTCCTTTTTCACCATAGGCCTCAAAGCGATCTAAATGTCCATTTCCAGATACTACAAAAATAGTGTTTCAAAGCTGTTCTATGAAAGGGAATGTAGAACTCTCTGACTTCAATGCAGACATCACAAAGGTGTTTCTGAGAATGCTTTTATCTAGATTTTATATGAGGATATTCCCATTTCCAAGGAAATCCTCAAAGCTATCAAAATATCCACTTGCAGATTCTATAAAAAGAGTGTTTCAAAACTGGTCTATCAAAAGAAAGGTTCTACTCCGTTAGTTGAGTAAACACATAACTAAGTAGTTTCTGAGAATGCTTCTGTGTAGTTTTTGTGGGAAGATATTTCCTTTTTCACCTTACTCCTCAAAGCGATCAAAATGTCCACTTCCAGATATGACAAAAAGAGTGTTTCAAACCTGCTCTATGAAAGGGAGTGATCAACTCTGCGACACGAATGCTAACATCCCAAAGAGGTTTCTGAGAATGCTTGTGTCTCTATTTCATATGAAGATTTTCCCGTTTCTAATGAAATCCTCGAAGCTATCTAAATATCCACATGCAGATTCTACAAAAAGTGTGTTTCAAATCTGCTCTATCAAAAGAAAGTTCACCTCTGTTTGTTGAGTTCACACATCACAAACAAGTTTATGAGAATGCTTCTGTCTAGTTTTTATGCGATGATATTCCCTTTTTCACCATAGGCCTCAAAGTGATCAAAATGTCCACTTCCAGATACTACAAAAAGAGTGTTTCATACCTGTTCTATGAAAGGGAATGATCAACTCTGTCATTAGAATGCTAACATCCCAAAGATGTGTCTGAGAATACTTCTCTCTAGTTTTTATGCGAAGATATTCCCTTTTTTCACCATAGGCCTCAAAGCGATCAAAATGTCCACTTCCAGATTCCACAAAAATAGTGTTTCAAACCTGCTCTATGAAAGTGAATGTTCCACTCTGTGACTTGAATGCTAACACCCCAAGGATGTTTCTGTGAATGCTTCTGTCTAGATTTTATATAGAGATATTCCCCTTTGCAACGAAATCCTCAAAGCTATCCAAATCCACATGCAGATTCTACAAAAAGAGTGTTTCAAAACTGCTCTATCAAACGAAATGTTCAGCTCTGTTAGTTGAGCACACACATCGCAAGGTAGTTTATGAGAGTACTTCTGTCTAGTTTTTGTGGGAAGATATTTCCTTTTTCACATTAGGCCACAAAGCGCTCCAAATGTCCAATTCCACATACTACAAATTCATTGTTTAAAACCTGCTCTATGAAAGGGAATATTTAACCTGTGACTTGAATGCAATCCTCACAGAGATGTTTCTGAGAATGCTTCTGTCTAGATTTTATATGAACATATCCCCTTTCCCAAAGAAATCCTCAAAGCTATCCAAATATCCACTTTCAGATTCTACAAAAAAAGTGTTTCAAACTGCTCTATCAAAAGAAAGGTTCAACTGTGTTAGTTGAGTAAACATATCACAAAGTTATTTCTGAGAATGTTTCTGTCTAGTTTTTATACGAAGATATTTCCTTTTTCACCATAGGTCTCAAAGCGATGAAAATGTCCACTTGCAGATACTATAAAAAGAATGTTTCAAACCTGCTCTATGAAAGGGAATGTTCAACTCTTTGACTAGAATGCTAACATCCCAAAGATGTTTCTGAGAATGCTTGTGTCTTGATTTGATATGAAGATATTCCTGTTTCCAACGAAATCCTCAAATCTATCCAAATATCCACATGCAGATTCTAGAAAAAGAGTGTTTCAAAACTGCTCTATCAAAAGAAAGGCTCAACTCTGTTAGTTAAGTACACACATTCCAAGCAAGTTTAGGAGAATGCTTCCGTCTACTTTTTATGTGAAGATATCTCCTTGTTCACAATTAGGCCTCCATGTGATCCAAATATCCACTTCCAGATTCCACAAAAAGAATGTTTCAAACCTGCTCTATGAAAGGGAATGTTCAACTCTATTACTTGAATGCAAACATCCCAAAGATGTTTCTGAGAATGCTTCTGTGTAGATTTTGTATGAAGATATTCCAGTTTCCAATGAAATCCTCAAAGCTATCCAAATATCCCTTGCAGATTCTACAAAAAGATTGTTTCAAATCTGCTCTATCTTTTTTTTTATTATTAAAGGTATTTTTTTTTAATTATACTTTAAGTTTTAGGGTACATGTGCACATTGTGCAGGTTAGTTACATATGTATACATGTGCCATGCTGGTGTGCTGCACCCACTAACGTGTCATCTAGCATTAGGTATATCTCCCAATGCTATCCCTCCCCCCACTCCCCACCACAGTCCCCAGAGTGTGATATTCCCCTTCCTGTGTCCATGCGATCTCATTGTTCAATTCCCACCTATGAGTGAGAATATGCGGTGTTTGGTTTTTTGTTCTTGCGATAGTTTACTGAGAATGATGGTTTCCAATTTCATCCATGTCCCTACAAAGGACATGAACTCATCATTTTTTATGGCTGCATAGTATTCCATGGTGTATATGTGCCACATTTTCTTAATCCAGTCTATCATTGTTGGATATTTGGGTTGGTTCCAAGTCTTTGCTATTGTGAATAATGCCGCAATAAACATACGTGTGCATGTGTCTTTATAGCAGCATGAATCTGCTCTATCAAAAGAAAGGTTCAACTTTGGTAGTTCAGTAAACACATCACAAACTAGTTTCTGAGAATCCTTCCGCGTAGTTTTTAATGGAAGATATTTCCTTTTTCACCACAGGCCACCACTGGCTCCACATGTCCAGTTCCACAAACTACAAAATCAGTTTTTTCAAACCTGCTTCTTGAAAGGGAATGTTTAACTCTGTGACTTGAATGCAAACATCGCCGAGATGTTTCTGAGAATGCTTCTGTCTAGATTTTGTATGAAGATATTTCCTTTTCCAATGAAATCCTCAAAGCTATCCAAATATCCACTTGCAGATTCAACAAAAAGAGTCTTTCAATGCTGCTCTATCAAAAGAAAGGTTCAACTCTTTTATTTGTGTACACACATCACAAACTATTTTCTGAGAATGGTTCTGTCTAGTTTTTTTGGGAAGATATTTCCTTTTTCACCGTAGACCAAAAATGGCTCAACATGTCCGGTTGCAGATAATACAAAATCAGTGTTTCAAACCTGCTGTATGAAAGGGAATGTTCACCTCTGTGACTTGAATGCAAACATCACAGAGATGTTTCTGAGACTGCCTCTGTCTGTATTTTATATGAAGATATTCCCGTTTCCAAAGAAAATCCACAAATCTATCCAAATATGCTCTTGCAGATTCTACAAAAAGAGTGTTTCAAAACTGGTCTATCCAAAGAAATTTTCAACTCTGTTAGTTGTGTACACACATCACAACAAGTTTCTGAGAATGCTTCTGTGTAGCTTTTATGGGAAAATATTTCCTTTTTCACCATAAGAATAAAGCGATCAAATTGTGAGTTCCAGATACTACAAAAAGAGTATTTCAAACCTGCTCTATGAAAGGGAATGTTCAACTCTGGGACTTGAATTCAAACATCACACAGATGTTTCTGAGAATGCTTCTGTCTAGATTTTATATGAAGATATTCCCGTTTCCAACGAAATCCTCAAAGGTATCCAAATATCCTCTTGCAGATTCTACAAAAACGATGTTGCTAAAATGCTCTATCAAAAGAAAGGTTCAACTCTGTGAGTTGAGTACACACATCACAAACTAGTTTCTGATAATGCTTCTGTCTATTTTTTATGGGAAGATATTTCCTTTTTCACCATATGCCACAAAGCGATCCAAATGTTCTGTTGCAGATACTACAAAATCAGTGTTTCGAACCTGCTCTATGAAAAGGAATGTTCAACTCTGTGACTTGAATGCAAACATCACACAGATGTTTCTGATAATGCTTCTGTCTAGATTTTATATGAGGATATTCCCGTTTCTTAAGAAATCCTCCAACTATGCAAATATCCGTTGGAATCATCATCGAATTGAACCAAACCAAGTCATCATCAAATGGAATCGAATGGAATCATCTTTGAATGTAATCAAAAGGAATCATCATCGAATAGAATAGAATGGATTCATCGAATGGAATAGAATGGAATCATCATTGAAAGAAATCGAAGGGAATCATCGAATGGAATCAAACGGAATCATCGAATGGAATCAAATGGAATAACCATCAAATGGAATCAAATGGAATCATCAAATAGACTCGAATGGTATAATCGAATGGACTTGAATGGAATCATCAAATGGAATCGAATGGAATAATCGATTAGACTCGAATGGAATCATCATCAAATGGAATTGGATGGAATCTATGAAGGGACTAGAATGGACATGAATGGACATGAATGGAATCATCTAATGTACATGAATGGAATCAGCATCAAATGGACACAAATTGAATCATCGAATAGAATCAAAAGGAATCATCGTGGAATGGATTTGAATGGAATCATCATCTAATGGAAATGAATGGAATCATCATCGAAAGAAAATTGAATGGAACCATAGTTGATTGGAATCGAATGGAATCATCAATGAATGTAGTCGAATGCAGTCATCGAATGGAGTCCGTTGGAATCGTCATCGAATGGAACTGAATGCAGTCATCATCGAATGGTATCAAATGGTATCATGAAATGGACTCGATGGAATCATCATTGCATGGAATCAAATGGAATCCTCTAATGGACTCGAATGGAATTATCTTTGAGTAGAATTGAATGGAATAATTGAATGCACTCAAATGGAATCATGATTGAATGGAATCAAAAGGAATCAAGGAATCATCCAATGGACTTGAATGGAATCATTGAATGTACTCAAGTGGAATCATCATCGAATGGAATCGAATGTAATCAAATGGAATAATCGACTGGACTTGAATGGAATCATTGAATGTACTCGAATGGAATCATCACCGAATGGAATCAAATTTAATCATTGAATGGACCCGAATGGAAACACCATCAAATGTAAACAAATGGAATCATCAAATGGAATCGAATGGAACCATCATTGAATGGAATCGAATGGAATCGTCATTGAATGGAATCGAATGGAATAATCATGGAATGGAATCTAATGGAATCATCATCAAATGGAAATGAATGGAATCATAAACGAATGGAATCAAATGGAGAAATCGAATGGAATCCGTTGGAATCATCATCAGATGGAACCGAATGCAGTCATAATCAAATGGAATCGAATGGAATCATCAAATGGATTAGAATGGAATCATCATCTAATGGACTCGAATGGAATCATCATCGAATGGAATCAAACAGAATCATCAAATGGACTCGAATGGAATCATCGTTGAATGGAATCAAATGGAAACATCGAATGGCATTGAATGGAATCATGATCAAATGGAATCTAATGGAATCATCGAATGGCATCGAATGGAATCATCGAATGGACTTGAATGCAATCATCATGGAATGGAATCGAATGGAATAATCAAATGGACTCGAATGGAATCATCATCGAATGAAGTCGGATGCAATCATCATTGAACAGAATCAAATGGAATCACCGAATGGAATCAAATGAAATGAACATCGAATGGAATCGAAGGGAATTATCAAATGGGATTGAACAGAGTCATTGAATGGAATCATGTGGAATCATCGAATGGATTTGACTGGAATCATCATCGAATAGAATCGAATGGAATCATCGAATGGAATCAAATGAAATCATCATCGGATGGAATTGAATGAAATCATCACTGAATGGAATCGAATGGAGTCATTGCACAGAATCAGATGGAATCATTGATTGGAATCGAATAGAAGCATCGAACGATATCGAATGGAATCATCAATGAACGGAATTGAATGGACTCATCATTGCATGGACTCGAATGGAATCATCGTGAAATGGAATCGAATGGAAACATGATCGAATTGAATCAAATGGAATCATCATGGAATTGAATTGAATGGCTAATCATCGAATGGGATCGAATGGAAACATCATCGAATGGAATCAAATGGAATTGTCATCGAATGGAATCGAATGGAACCATTGAATTAAATCGGATGGAATAACGATTTAATGGAGTCAAATGGAATTATTGAATGGACTCGAATGGAATCATCAAATGGAATCTAGGGGAATCATCATTGAATGGAATCATCAAATGGACTAAAATGGAATCACTGAATTGACTCGAATGAAATCATTGAATGGACTTTAATGGAATCATCATCAAATGGAATCGAATGGAATCCTCGAATAGAATCAAATGGAAACATCAAATGGAATTGAACGGAATCATCATTGAATGGAATCGAATGGAATCTTCGAATGGAATCGAATGGAATCATCGAATGGAATTGAAGGCAATCATCATCGAATGGAATCAAATGGAATCATCGAACGGAATCCAAGGGAATCATCCTCAAGTGCAATTGAGTGGAATCTTTGAATGGAATCGATTGGAATCATTGTCGAATGGAATTGAATGGAATCAATGAATGGAATTGAATGGAATCACCAATGAATGTTCTCGAATGGAATCATCATCGAATGGAATCATCGAATGGACTCGAATGGAATCATCTTCGAATGGAATCATGTGGAATCATCTAATGGGCATGAATAGAATCATCATCGAATGGGTTCGATTGGAATCATCTAATGTACTCGAATGGAATCATCATTGAATGGAATAGAATGAAATCATCGAATGGAATCGAACAGAATCATCATCGTATGGAATCGAGTAGAATCATTGAATGGACTCGAATGAAATCATCATCGAATGGAATAGAATGGAATCATTGAATGGAATTGAATGGAATCATCATCGAATGGAATTGAATGGAATCATTGAATGGAATTGAATGGAATCATCATCGAATGGAATCGAATGGAATCACTGAATGGACTCAAATGGAATAATCATCAAATGGAATCGAATGGAATCATCTAATGGACTCAAAAGGAATCATCATCGAATGAAATCGAAAGGAATCACCGAATGGACACGAATGGAATCACCATTGAATAGAATCAAATGGAATCACCGAATGGACTCAAATGGAATATAATTGAATGGAATCAAAAGCAATCATCGAATGGACTCAAATGGAAATATGGAATGGAATCATCGAATGGACTCGAATGGAATCATCATTGAATGGACTCAAATGGAATGATCCAATGGACTTGAATGGAATCATGGATTGGACTCACATGGAATTATAGAATGGGTTCAAATCGAATCACCGAATGGACTCAAATGGAATCATTATCGAATGGAATCAAATGGAATCATCGAATGGAATCATCAAATGGAATGAATTGTAATCATCATTGAATGGAATCAAATGGAATCATCGAATGGAATTGAACGCAGTCATCATCGAATGGACTCGAATGGAATCATCATTGAATGGAATAGAATGGAATCATCAAATGGCATCGAATGGAATCATCATCTAATGGAATCTAATGGAATAATCATATGGACTCGAATGGAATCGTCAAATGGAGTCGAATGGAATCATCATCGAATGAAATCGAACAGAATCATTGAATAACATCGAAAGGAATCATCGTTGAATGGAGTCGAAAGGAATCTTTGAATGGACTCGAATGGAATCGTCATGGAATGTAATCGAATGGCATATTTGAATGGACACGAATGGAATCATCATCAAATGCAATCGAATGGAATCATCATCGAATGGAATCGAATGGAATCATCATCGAATGGAATCCTCTTCACATGGAATCAAATTGAATCATCATCAAATTGAATCACATGGAATTATCATCGAATGGATTCGAAAGGAATCATCATCAAATGGAATTGAATGCAGTAATCATTGAATGGCATCGAATGGAATCATCATCGAGTGGAATTTTATGGAATCAATGAATGAAATCGAATGGGATCATCATCGAGTGGAATCAAATGGAATCATCCAATGGAATTGAATGGCATCATCGCCGAGTGGAATCCAATAGAATCATCAAATGAAATTGAACGGAATCATCATCGAATGGAATGTAGTGGAATCATCATCGAATGGAATCGAATGGAAACATCAAAGACTGGAATTGAATCTATTCATTGAATGGAATCGAATGGAATCATCAATTGGAATTGAACAGAATAAGCATCAAATGGAATCGAAAGGAATCATCGTACGGAATCAAATGAAATCATTATCGAATGGAATCGAAGGGAATCACGAATGGAAATGAATGGAATCACCACTGATTGGAATCGAATGGAATCATCATCAAATGGACACGAGTGGTATCATCCTCGAATGGAATTGAGTGGAATCATCATTGAGTGGACTCGAGTGGAATCATCATAGAATCGAACCAAATGGAATCATCAAATGGACTCAACCGGAATCATCATCGAATGGAATCGAATGGAATCATCGAATGGACTCGAATGGAATCATCATCAAATGGACTCTAATGGAATCATCATTAAATGGACTCTAATGGAATCATCATCGAATGGACTCTAATGGAATCATCATCGAATGGAATCAAATGGAATCATCATTGAATGAAATCAATGGAATCATCATCAAATGCAATCAAAGGGAAGCATCATTGAAAGGAATCGAATGGAATCATGGTATGGAATCGAATGAAATCATCATTGAATGGAATCGAATGGAATCATGGAATGGAATTGAATGGAATCACCATTGAATGGAATTGAATGGAATAATCATCTAATGGAATTCAGTAGAAACATCGAATGGACTCGAATGGAAACATCATCAAATGGAATCAAATGGAATCATCGAATGGACTCTAATGGAATCATCATCAAATGGAATCAAATGGAATCATTGAATGGACTTGAATGGAATCATCATTGAATGGAACCAAATGGAATCATTAATGAATGTAATCAAAAGGAGTCATCATCGAATGGAATCGAATGGTAACATCAAATGGCCACGAATTGAATCATCATCAAATGTAATCGAATGGAATCATCGAATGGACTCGAATGGAATCATTGAATACACTTTAATGGAATCATCCTTGAATGGAATCAAATAGAATCTTCATTGAATGGAATCAAATGGTATAATCATCGAGTGGACTCAAACGGAATCAGCATCAAATGGAATGCAATGGAATCATTGAATGGACTTGAATGGAATCATCGAATGGACTCTAATGGAATCATCCTTGAATGGAATTGAACAGAATCATCATCAAGTGGAACGAATGGAATCATCATCGAATGGAATCGAATGGAATAATCATCCAATGGAATCGAATGGAAATATCAACGACTGAAATCGAATGGAATCATTGAATGGAATTGAATGGAATCAACGAATGGAAGTGAACGGACTCATCTTCAAATGGAATCGAATGAATCATTGAATGGAATTGAATGGAATCACAATTGAATGGAATTGAATTGAATCATCATTGAAGGAATTGAATGGAATCATCAAATGGGCTCGAATTGATTCATCATTGAATAGAATCCAATGGAAACATTGAAAAGTGTTGAGTGGAATCATCATTGAATGGAATCGAATGGAAACATCGAATGGACTCGAATAGAATCATCATCAAATGTAATCGAATGGAATCATTGAATGGATTCGAATGGAATCATCATCGAATGGAATCGAATGGAATCATTGAATGGACTCGAATGGAATCATCATTGACTGGAATCGAATGGAATCATCATCAAATGGAATCGAATGGAATCATTGAATGGATTCGAATGGAATCATCATCGAATGGAATCGAAGGGAATCATTGAATGGACGCGAATGGAATCATCGTTGACTGGAATCGAATGGAATCATCATCAAATGGACTCTAGTGGAATCATCATCGAGCGGAATTGAATGGAAACATCATTGAATGGAAATGAATGGAATCATCATCAAATGCAGTCGAATGGAATCATCATCCAATGGAATCAGAATGAATCATCATCAAATGGAATCCAATAGAATCATCGATTGTAAATGAAGGGAATCATCATCGAATAGAACTGAATGTTATCATCATCGAATGGAATTGAATGGAATCATCAAATGGACTCGAATGGAATAATCTTTGAATAGAATTGAATGGAATCATCGTCGAGTGGAATCGAATGGAATCATCAAATGGACATGAATGGAATCATTTTATGGATTCTAAGACAGTCATCATCAATGGAATCGAATGGAATAATCATAAAATAGAATGGAATAGAATCATCAAATGAAATCGAATGGAATTATCTTCAAATGAAATCGAATGGAATCACCATCGAATGAAATCGTCGTCAAATGGAATCAAATGAAATCATCATCGAAAGGATCGAATGAAATCATCCACGAATGGAATCGAACTGAACCATCAAATGGAAACTAATGGTATCATCATCCAATGGAACCGAGTGCAATCATCATCAAAAGAAACCTAATGGAATCATCATAGAAAGGAATTGAATGGAATCAGCGAATGGAATTGAATGCAATCATCATCAAAAGGAATTGAAGTGAATCATCAAATGGAATCGATTTGAATCATCAAATAGAATCAAAAGGAATAATCATTGAATGGACTTGAATTGAATCATAATGGGATTGAATCGAATGGAATCATCAAATAGTCTCAAGTGGAATGATTGATTGGACTAGAATGGAATCATCATCGAATGGATATGAATGGAATCATCATCGAATGGAATCAAATGGAATCATCAATGAATGGAAGCGAATGCAATCACCATTGAAGGAAATCAGATGGAATCATTGAGTGGCATCAAATGGAATCGAATGGAATCATTGAATGGACACAAATGGGATCATCATCGATTTGAATTGAATGGAATCATCAATTGGACTCGAATGGAACCATCATCGAATGGAATGAATGGAATCATCATCGAATGGAATCGAATGGAATCATCTAATGGAATTGAATGGAATCATCATCGTATGGAACCGAATGGAATCATCATCAAATGGAACCAAACGGAGTCATCACCGAATGGAATCGAATGGAATCATAGAAAGGGATCGAACGGAATCATCAAAGGGAATTGAATGGAATCATTGCAAGGATTCGTATGGAATCATCATCGAATGGAATTGAATGGAATCATGGAATGGACATGAATGGAATCATCATCAAATGGAATCAAATGGAATCATCGAATGGACACAAGTGGAATCATCCTTGAATGGAATTGAATGGAATCATCGAATGGCATCGAATCTAATCATCATCGAATGGATTCTAATGGAATCATCGAATGGACTTAAGTGGAATCACCATCGAATGGAATCAAATGGAATCATCGTATGGACGCGAATGGAATCATCCTCGAATGGAATCAAATGGAGTCATAATCAAATGGAATCGAATGGATTCATCATCGATTGGAATGGAATGGTATCACCAAATTGATTCAAACGGAATGATCATTGAATGGAATCGAAGGGAATCATCTAATGGGATCGAACAGAGTCATCTAATGGAATCGAGTGGAATCATCGAGTGGATCCGAATGGAATCATCACTGAATGGAATCGAATGGAATCATTGAATGGACTTGAATGGAATCATCATTGAATGGAAGTGAATGGAATCATCATCGAATGGTATCAAATGGAATCATCATCAAATGGAAACAAATGCAATCATCATCGAAAGGAATCTAATGGAATCATCATCGAATGGAATCAAATGCAATCATCATCGAATGGAATCTAATGGAATCATCATCTAATGGAATCAAATGCAATAATCAATGAATGGAATAGAATGGAGTCATCAAATGGAATCTGTTTTATTCATCATCAAATGGAACCGAATGCAGTCATCATCGAATGGAATTGAATGGAATCATTGAATGGACTCAAATGGAATCATCATCAGATGGAATCGAATGGAATCATTGAATGTACTTGAATGCAATCATCGAATGGACTCTAATAGAATCATCATCGAATGGACTCGAATGGAATCATCATCGAATGGACTCAAATGGTATCATCATCGAATGGACTCGTATGGAATCATCATCAAATGGACTCGTATGGAATCATCATCGAATGGAATCCGATGGAATCATCATCGACTGGAATTGAATGGAATCATTGAACGGACTCGAGTGGAATCATTGGGGATTGGCGTCAAATGGAATTATCAAATGGACTCCAATGGAATCAACTTTGAATGGAATCAAAGGGAATCATTTAATGGAATCAAATGCAATCATCATTGAATTGAAACGAATGTAATCATCGAATGGAATCGAATGGAATCACCATTGAGTGGACTCGAACGGAAATATTGTTGAAAGGAATTGAGTGGAATAATCGAATGGACTCAAATGGAATCATCAATGAATGGAATTGAACGGAACGATCTTTGAATAAAATCGAATAGAATCATCATCAAATGTAATCAACTGGCATCATTGAATGGAATCGAATGGAATCATCATCGAATAGAGTCAAATAGAATAATTGAATGGAATCAAATGGAATCAACATCGAATGGAATTGAATGGAATCATAGAATGGTATGTAATGGAATCATCATCGAATGGAATCACATGGAATCATCATCGAATGGAATTGAAAGCAATCACTGAATGGACTTGAATGGAATGATCGAATGGACTTGATAGGAATCCTCATCAAATGGAATAGAATGGAATAGTCGAATGGACTCAAATGGAATCATCATCGAAAGGAATCAAATGGAATCATCGAAGGGGCATGAATGGAATCATCATCGAATGGAATTAATTGGGATAATCATCAAATGGAATCGATTGAGATAATCATCAAATGGAATCGAATGGAATCGTCAAATGGACTTGAACGGAGTGATCAAATGGACTCAAATGGAATTATCAAGTGGAATCGAATGGAAACATCGAATGGAATCAAATGGAACTATTGAATGGACTCCAATGGAATCAATGAATCTACTTGAATGGAATCATCATCGAATGGAATGGACTGGAATTATCAAATGAATCGAATGGAATCATTGAAGGGATTCAAATGGAAACATTGACTGGACACGAATGGAATCATCATAGAATGGAATCGAATGGGATCATCATGAAATGGAATTGAATGGAATCATCGAATGGACTCGAACGGAATGATCAAATGCACTGGAATGGAATCATCCAATGGAATCGAATGGAATCATGGAAGGGAATTGAATGGAATTATCAAATGGACTCGAATAGAATCATCGAATTTACTTGAACGGAAACATCATTGAATGGTATCGAATAGGTTCATCAAATGGACTCAAATGGAATCATTGAATGGACTCAAATGGAAACATTGAATGGACTCGAATAGAATCATCATTGAATGGAATCAAATGGAATCACCTAATGGACCCGAATGGAATCATCTTTGAATGGAATCAAATGGAATCATTGAATGGACCCGAATGGAATCGTCATCGAATATAATCTAAAACAATCATCAAATGGATTCAAATGGAATCATCAAATGGACTCAAATGGAAGCATCATTGAACGAAATCAAATGGAATCATCGAATGGAATCGAACGGAATCATCATCCAATGAAATCCAATGGAATCATCAAATGGACCCGAATGGAATCATCATTGAATAGAATTGAATGGAATCATCAAATGGACACGAAAGGAATCATCAACAGATGGAAACGAATGGAATCATCAAATAGAATGGAATGTAATCATCATCGAATGAAATCGCGTTGAATCATCGAATCAACTCGAATGGTATCATCATTGAATGGCATCAAATGGAATCATCGAATGGACTCGATTGGAATCATGATCGAATGGAGTGGAATGGAATCATCAAATGGAGTCAAATGGAATAATCATTGAATAGAATTTAATGGAATCACCGAAATGAATCGAATGGAATGATCATCAAATGGAATCGAAGGGAATGATCAAATGGGATAGAACGGAGTCATCGAATGAAATCAAGTGGAATCATCAAATGGATTCGAATGAAATCATCATCAAATGGAATCGAATGGAATCATCGAATGGACTCAAATGGAATCATCATTGAATGGAATGAAATGGAATCATCGAATGTTATCAAATGGAATCATCATTGAATGAAATCGAATGGAAACATCCAATGGACCCGAATGCAAAAATCATCGAATGGAATCGAATGCAATCATTGAATGGACTCGAATGGAATCATCATGGGATGGGATCAAACGGAATCATTGAATGGACCAGAATGGAATCATCATGGAATTGGATCAAACGGAATCATTGAATGGACCAGAATGGAATCATCGAATGGACTTGAATGGAATCATCAAATGGACTTGAATGGAATCATCACTGAATGGAATCAAATGGAATGATCATCGAATGGAATCAAATGGAATGATCATTGAATGGAATCAGATGGAATCATAGAATGGAATCGAATGGAATCATCATCAAATGAAATTGAATGAAGTCATCGAATGGCATCGGATGGAATCATCATCGAATGGAATCGAATGGAATCATTGAATGGACTCGAATGGAATAATCATAGAATGGAATCGAATGGAATCATCAAATGGATGTGAATGGAATCATCATTGACTGGAATTGATTGGAGTCATCATCGAATGGAATCGAATGGGATAATCATTGAATGGAAACGAATGGAATCATCTAATGGAATAAAATGGAATCATCGAATGGAATCGAATAGAGTTATAGAATGAAATCAAATTGAATCATCATCCAATGGAATCGAATGGAATCATCATCAAATGGAATCGAATGGAATCATCAACGAATGGAATCGAAAGGAATCATCGAATGGAATCTAATGGAATCACCATCGAATTGAACCGACTGGAATCATCATCAAATGGAACCAATGGAGACAGCATCGAATGGAATCGAATGGAATCATCACCGAATGTAATTGAAGGGAATCATCGAATGGAATCAAACGGTATCATCGAATGGACACGAATGGAATCATCATTGAATGCAATTGAATGGAAGCATGATCGAATGGAATCGAATGAATCATCATCAAATGAATTCGAATGGAATCATCAAATGAGTTCGAATGGAATCATCGAATGGAATAGAATGGAATCATCATCGAATGGAATCGAATAGAGTTATAGAAAGAATTC